>NC_000015.10:85683702-85835217 GCF_000001405.40 Homo sapiens
TCGTGATCCGCCCACCTCGGCCTCCCAAAGTGCTGGGATTACAGGTGTGAGCACCGCACCTGCCCCAAATGCCCAGCATTTAAGAAAATCAACCATTGCAAATTACCTAAGTTAGAACATGCCCATCTTGGATGGACTTAGATTTTATGTAGGTTTCTTGAACAGGTAGATCACTGAATCTACATAAAACTCCTAAAATTGATCTTTCAACACTGTGCCTCAATTCTGTCTGCTCCTCAGTAAGTTCCCTCCTAAAATTGAACCTAGCTGCATGGACCAGTCCACAGTCCTGATTGTCCCGTGTGCCAAAGGCTAGAAAAAAGTTGTGATCTCTACCGTTAAGGAACTTGGATATGTGGTCAGTCATAAGATTCCTTGGTTTGCAACTCCTATTAACAAGTACCCTGTCATTCTGCTACATATATGGGTTTCCTTTCAAGCACCCATTTGTTACAAAGGAGTTTGTAGATTGAATGCTATTGTAGATGAATAGATTCCATATAAAATAATTACTGAATAATTGACAGGCTCTTTTTAACATGAGGTCACTGAAAATCCATAATTAAAACATTAAAAATGGGCCAGGCGGTAGCTCACGCCTGTAATCCAAGCACTTTGGGAGGCTGAGGTGGGAGGATTGTGTGAAGCCAGGAGTTCAAAATCAGCCTGGGCAACATAGCAAGACCCCATCTCTACAAAAAAATTTGAAAAATAGCCAGGCGTGGTGGCATGTGCCTTTAGTCCCAGCTTACTCTAGAGGCTGAGGCAGGAAGATTGCGTGAGCTCAGGAGTTCAAGGCTGCAGTGAGCTATCATCACACCACTCAGAGCAAGACTGTCTCCAAAACAGACAAGTGAACAAGAAAACATTAGTGACGGATCTAAGGAAACTTAGCCAAGTTTTGATAACAGAACCTGGGCGTTGTGGCATACTCTATAAAAAGCCATTCAGCAGCCTTCATCTACCTTTTATTCTGCTTCACTTTTATTTAACTTCTGTAGCCCTTTAAAAAAAATCAATCTTCTTGTTTTTATTTAGTATAACAGAAGAGAACTATAATTTCCTGCCACATAGCCCCTCCAAGAAAGATTCTGAATGGAAGAGTGGAACAAAAGTCAGTCGTACATTCAGCTACATCAAGAATAAAATGTCTAGCAGCAAGAAGAGCAAAGTGAGTATCACTGTGGGCATTGCTTGTGATCACCTCAGTAGGATCCTGTCACAGCCTGCATTCACACCAAAACTGGTTAAATCATGGGGACATAAATGGAAATAAATTCAGGATTACTCTCCGAAATCGCCTAATATTTAAAGGAAAATAATAAGAAGAAAAATAGCAAGAAGTGGAACTACCAGTTACTGAGTTTTCACTATATGCTAAGTGCTTTCCATATATTATTTAACCCTTTCAACAACCCTGTCAGGTAGGTGTTATCTCTCTTTTCTAAAAGTGATGTACCTTACCGAGGATACTCCTCTAATGTGAAGAAGTAGTTCAAACCAGATCTCTTTGGTTTCAAATCCCATACTCTTAAACCACAGTGCTTAAATCTGTAATATCAGTTTAAATGCAACAGAAGGATTTTATGCAAAGATCAAAGGATTGAAAATATTTATATTTGGCTTTAGAGGGAAGGATTATCCCACAGAAGATTACAAGAACTTTTAAGACTAATATGATTTCTTAGATCTATTTCTAATTAGGAGCATTTGGAATATATTCTCTTAGTGATTAAGAGATTAAATAAATGTTTAAACCGTGTGTGTGTGTGTGTGTGTGTGTGTGTCTGTGTGTGTGTGTGTGTAAGGCTCCACTGTATCACCCAGGCTGGAGCACAGTGGCGTGACCATAGCTCACTGCAGTCTTGAACTGCCAGGCTTAAGCAGTTTCCTGCCTCGCACCGTAGCCTCCCGAGTAGCCAGGGCTACAGTCATGTTGTGCCATCGTGCTGAGCTATGTTTAAATTTGTTTGTAAAGATGAAGTCTTGCTGTTGTGTCTAGGCCGGTCTAATGCCTTACCTCAAACACTCTTCTCGCTGCAGGCTTCCGAAGCCCTGGGTGTGATCCACCGTGCCCAGCCTAAAGTAACATTTTTTATCTAATTATTTTTCACATGCTCATTATGGAAATCTTCAAAATCTAAAAGTAAAAGAATGAAAATCTCCTGGAATAACCCCGCTTAGAGATAACTACACTTAATGTTTTGGTTTATATATTTCTAATCTTTTTTAAAAATGTATTTTCAAAAGAAAGGGAGAAAAGAAGTTCACTTTCTTATACTGATTCCCAGTGCTAAACCAAAACTGATTCCATTTCAAGTCCGTGGGGAAAAACTTTTCGCCTCTCACACCCTGTTCATCTACCCACAACACCCTCTAACAAAATAAAGACATAAGTAAATAAAAATTTGAAATCAGTTAAGGAACTCTTGCAAGGAATCACTGTGTGTGTGTGTGTGTGTGTATGTGTGTGTGTGCACGTGCATGCATGTGTGTGTGTGTGTGGTATATACATGTACATACAGATATATACACACGTAGATACATGCATATTTAGAAGTAAGGGAATAAACAAACATTGAATTCAAGAATATTGTCATAAAAGGGCATTGCCTCCTCCCTCACAAAACAAGGTGCACTAAGCTTCTCAAGCCCTCACTTCAGTGGGCTGATGGAAATATAGCCAAAGTATTTTACCATGTTTTGTAAGATCTCTTGGTTTAGCAAATACATTCAAAGAAATTTTTCCACCAAACGTGCCACAAGAATTGTGTTTTCATTTCTCCTGTGCAAGTACAGAATGGAGAGAAAGTAGGCAATCAGGGAGAGATGCAAAGAGTCTAGCAAATTATTTCTAGCATAATCACACATTTAACTTCAGACTCAGCCTTGTTTTATAATTCCAAAAAAAAAAAAAATGAAGGTCAAAGAATACTGCTTTACCAGTATTCTACGTATTTACATATTGGCAGCCAGGCTTAAAATAGAGCCTTACCTTTTTTACTTACCACTGCCGGCTTGGATACTAGTTGGTATCAACAAAAGAAAATCCCCTTGGACAGAGCAATATAAATTAGCCAAGTATTATTAAATGCTTTGTATAGTCTTAGCATTCCACTAGGTGTTAACAGGCACCTAAGAGAACTAAAGCTCATAGTCCTGACCTTGAAAAACTTTATGATCTAGTTTGGATGAATTCAAAATGTTTTCATTGTTTTTTATTTTGCTTTAAAACTACTGAATCTTGTCTTCAAACAAGCTTTTCGTGGAAGACCAATAAATAAGTGGAGATTCCCCCTTTCTAGCCATCTCCCCAATGTCATGGAGTTTTAGGACAGAGCAGTGAATGTACCACTCATCTCATGGATAAGGTAAAACATACACATGATAGGAAAAAAAACAACGTAAGATGGAATTTAGAAACTGGACCCTGACCTTTAAAAAAGTCTCAGCCCTCAGCCTAGCCTCCTTATTTTACAAACTGAGGCACAGAGATGTATGCTTCATGTCACACAACCTCACACAACCTCACACAACCTCCTGTTATCTGACTTCCAGGAAGTAGTACTCATCATTTTGTGTTTAAACAAAATGTTACTATACAGCGTAATTTTTTTCTTTTAACTTTTTTAATCTGAAAGGACTGGAGTTTGCTAGGAGGAGATGAGCAGAAAGGACAGGAGAAAACATATTTTGTGTTAGACCGAAATCTGTGATCACTGGTAGAAACTTTTAGTATCAGTTGACCTCTTGTCTCTGATCATCTCCTTTGTCAAAATGACAACACTTTTTTGCAATTGAGATTGGTTCCTCTTTCAGACTTGGCTTCAAGATTTGATCTCTTGGGGTCGTGCTGTCTTTAGCAGTGGAAACTCAAAAAATTACAAATTTGTAACCCTGAATTGTAGTCCATTTCCCATTACCAAGTGTTTAGAGTGCCCTAGTGGCAACTGTAAGTCACCTTTTATAGTGAGGTGTTACTAGCTCACTTTTAAATAAAATTGGAACAGCTTGGCTTTTGTCAATGTAGCAAAAGATGATTTTTTAAAAGGTGGGGGTGGGGCACAGTGGTACACACCTGTAATCTCAGTACTTTGAGGCTGAGATGAGAAGATCACTTGAGACCAGGAGTTCAAGGTCAGCCTGGGCAGTATAGTGAGACCTCATCTCTACAAAAAAATTGTAAAATTAGCTGGGCGTAGTGGCACACACCTGTAGTCCTAGCTACTCAGGAGGCTGAGGCAAGAGGATCACTTGAGCCGAGGAGTTCAAGGCTGCAGTACGCTGTGTGCACTCCAGCCTGGGCAATGGAGCAAGACCCTGTCTCTTAAAAAAAAAAAAAAAAAAGAGAGAGAGAGGAAAGAAATAGGGGAAATAGTAAAGCAGTATATTTTGTGTTAAATACCCTCACTCTGCTATGTATCTGCATAGCATTTTACCATGCAGAAGTACTGTATTTTCTAAATGGTAACATAAAAATTAATGAATATTAAATTTTCTTAACATAGTGATGCTAACTCTAATCTTGTTCTTAACTATTGAATAATGTTACTTCTCCATAATGTTAACAAATTGAAAGTGCTACTATGGATATTGACACTGATTTTTCTGTGAAAATGATAAATTTTCAGTTTTTAAAAATTATTTTTTAAATAGATGCTGTGAGAGACCGTCTGATCCAATTGTTTTATTAATCTACCATACAATAAAACTAGACCTACATCTTTTAAAGGAAAAATTTAAGCATCTACCGAATATAATATTAAAATGCCACCTGTAACTCTTAGAGAAGTGTCTAAGGATTATTTGAAAATGTCTGCTTTCCTTTTGCATGATATATATATCTTTATGAAAATAGGTTATAGTGATTAACCTAGATATATTCCATTCAGTTGTATAATTGTGATGATAAACAGTTCTTAAACATGTCCAAAGAAGCCAAAAGCCAGTAGGCAGTAAACTGTTCACATTCCTAGGAGGGTAACATATTTTGTCTGGATCACTGGGTTTTGTATATAAACTTAAGAAATTGAGTCCTTGATCCTATGTCCTTTTGAGAATTATCACCGACTGGCATAAGTGATTAGATTAGATAAATATATTGAATGTGTTTGTGGAAGATGAGAGGGGATGCTAAACAGGAAGTATAGCAGGAAGACTGGCAGTTTCTGCTTTTGTCTTAGTATCTTTGAGAGATAGTGCTGTTTCCTGCTAAGTAATTTTGCGTGTTACAGAGTATTTAAACACTCATATGCATGGTGTTCGAGTTCACAAAGGGAGTGTGGAATGACCCTCTTCAAACCATCCTATCACACTGGTTTTCTTTTTTCTAAACCACAGTTACTTTTGCACCAACCTAATACTAAGCTTTCCTCTTTGTAGACAAACAAGAGGTGGTTAGAAATGTTTTAGACAAATCTATTTGATTTGAAGTAGGTATTTTTGAGTGCACAGGTTAAATTCCTGCACAGCTGCAAGTATACTACATGACTTTGTAACAGGACATTCAGTTACAGCTCCTAGGTCCTGTGGTCTGTATAAAAAAGAGCTGTACCCATAGGCCTTTCAGAAGTGCCTCCTAGAGTAGTGTTTACAAAGACTTAATTTTAAATGTAATTCTCATTCCTTCTTTGATTAAAGATCTGTAACATGACAGTTGTTTGATCATATCATGTTTTCACAGTTGTCCAGAGTGTTCTTTTTATTGTAATTACATGTATAAAGGGGTATTTTTGGAAAAGTGAAGAATCACCTTTGATAGTGTCCTAGTGCAGTTGTTACCTGCATCTATCCCTGTTAAATACCGTTAGCCTGTTTCTCCAGCACACAGCTAAAGCATTTTGCCAGTTGTTAAACATGGAAAAGTCAAACTTCAGAAAATAACTAGTCACCACTTTACACCAGGCAACTTCACTGAAAAGTTTTCTTATGAAACTCACTGCATTTTACAAAATGAGGAGTCTATTTTAAAATAGGTAAGATGTGTTCCTTAACTTCCCGTGTAAAAACTTGGCCTCAAACCTTGCTAGAGTTCTTATATTGCTGCTTAAGCACTGTCCACACACACTGTTTTTGGGGGGAGTGAGGTCTCGTTTCATTTCCTGTATCCTTTGTAACAAGGGTTGTTGGCTTTAGCAGCAGCATTCAAACAGTTAAGACTGTCTTAAGGAAACAAGCAGCCTCAGCCCTCCCTCCTTCCCTTTCTCAGCCAGTCTCTGGCTTCCTCTTACGATTTCACTAATGGCAGCTCAAAGCTGCTGAGCTCTGCCCTGACGGCATGCGCCCCCGCTTCTGTGAGAGCACGCTTCCTGGCATGGGGGTCGAATCATGTCGATAAAATGGGCTCGGTTTCATGAAGTACCCCACATAACAGTGAGATTCATAGGACCAAAGCATGGGGAGGTAAGAGCCTGACTTCTTTAAAGCACTAAATTCTAGTAAACACAGAAAGAGCCAGTGGAGTTGGTTGTTTTGTTTTGTTTCCATCCTGGGAAGAACTAATTTGGATTGTTGCAAAGGGAAGCTATTTCTTATTTATTCAGGTTTGAAGAGCATTGCAAGGCTTGAGAGGATAAGCTGGTTGCCATAAAAAGATTTTTTAAACGATTGAAGTATAATTTAACTTTCCTGAGCAAAAAAATCAGATGCTTTTCCATTTAACATTTTATGCATGGAAAAACCTTTAGCAAAATTTAGTTAAAAGAAAGAAATTATTTGAAAAAACCCAAATTTAGTTGTTGATTATTACTAAAGTTTTATGTACTTTAGTGATTACCAATTTTCACTCAGAACAGCTTCCTGTTTTGTAAAGTGAAGGAGTTTTTCTCCCTTCCTCTCTCATTATTTTTTATAGTTCAAAAGTGTAGTAATTTGGCTCTTAGATGTTCATTATATGTATTTGATTAACAAAAGACTTCACATGAATCATAGATCTAGCAATTATTTACCATTTCATTACAGTGGTTGGGTTCTGAACAGAAAGTCAGAAGACCTGGGTTCCCATTTTGACTGTGCTGATCATCTGTTGTGTGACCTTTTGCAAGTCAACCAACCTCTCCAGTCCCTGGCAGCATAGTGCAGTGTATGAGAGCTGAGCTTTACAGTCAGCCAGATCTGAATCTTAATTTCAGCTTGAGCAGTTATTGGCGTGTGGCCTCAAATGCATTATTAAACATCTCTAAGCTTCAATCTCTTCAGATGTAAAATGGAGATAATACCTAGTATTATCATTGGGTTGTTGTGAGAAAATACATGTAAATTGCTTACTACAGTGCTTAGCACGTAGTAACTGTTCAGATTTTTAGCTGTTATTTATTATCTTTATCCTCTACGTTGTAAAATGGGAAGCATAATGCTCACCCTGCCCACTTCAGAGTTATTGAGTCAGACGAAATGATGTATGTAGAAGACATTGATTCAAAATGTTAAGGCATTTAGTAGTTGTCATGATCACTGACTTGGGACACCCATTTTCCTGGAATTTTTTTAGGACATAACAATGGTATTGACAATAGGTAAAACCTCTTACCTTGTGAATGGTAGGTCTTTGTAGTCCAGTTGGTTTGAAAGGAAATTATTTCATTGATACTGATAAGCCAGCCAAGTACTCTGCCAAACAGTGCTTCTAAAGGACCTTTTATGGAGAGCATGGTTATATCCCCATGGTCCTGGCCTCCTAAGGATGGTGTCCACCTGAAATGTCCCTGACTGCTTTAGATATTTCATTAAGGACCCACCACTCATCAGTAGTTCTTCAAGTTTTCAGTGTTTGAATTCCTTTCCGTTCCTCTTCATGACTGTGTAAGCTTTGACAACAGCCTCTCTTAGATTGAGGCTTGATGTCATATGAGTCCTCTGCTTTCAGTCTGTCTCTAGAACATTTCTGACATTCCTGCAGTATTCTTAAGGTGACATGGCCAACTTAATCTGGCACTTAGAGCTCCTGACTCTCAGCCCAGTGCCCCCACTGTTCACCCAGTCTCATGTCTCATTTGCTGGTGTCCCCTGTGCTTTGTACCTAGCCCGGTTTTGGCCTGCTCAGTAAGTAGAAGCACCTGGGCAGTGGCTGGGCACACAGGAAGCACAAGATGAGTATCAGTTTCTGTTGCCACTCTGACAAGTGAGGGAAGACCACAGGAAAGAAAGGAGCTTCACAAAAGAGGTCAGAGAGCACGGCGTAGGAAGCTTATCTTTCCAACCTAGGGACACTGCCTGCTTTTCCTGCCTTCCTGCACCCCTAGGTACTCAGGGTAGAGGAGTGAGCTACTAAGCCTTGGGACTTCCTTTCCCTGGAACCCCATTTTTTTAAAGGAAGTGACCCTGTTGGTATCTAGCTTGAGGAACAACAAAGGTGGTTTTTGAGAAAAATTATTAACAAGGCTCCTTCCTGTCATCCGTGCATTCTCCTATCCTCCCTGCCCTGCACCGTTGTCCTTTAGCCACTCCCCAATTTCTTCTATCTTCCCTGCTCACATCAAAACTTCCTTTCCCTTACTGCAAGCAATACCTTTCTGTGTTGGCTTAGGAGAATAATGAGCTAATGAAACTCATTTCCAGTAAATTATGAGTAATTAATAATATTGCTAAGCATTATTGTGTATTCACTGTGTGCCAGGCACTGTGCAAAATGCTTTAGAAATGTATTATCTCACCTAATTGTCATATGTTTTAAAAAACATATGAGATGGGTACTTTTGTGATTACTCCCATTTGACAAATGAGAAAACTAAGGCTCAGAGAAATAATTTACCTAGGGTCACGCTATTACTGAGTAGTAGTAGTGGTGGTGGTGGTGATGGTGGTGGTGGTGGTGGTGGCAGTAGTGGTAGTAGTGGTAGTAGTACCTGAATCTGAACCGAGGTCTGGTACCATCGTCCGTATTCTTAACCACTGTACGGTTTTCCAGCCTCCCCTTCTTATCAGTCTCCTCTTGCCGGTTTGAAAATTAGGGCAAAGTTAATATTTACAAACCTTAAAATTCTAATTAGCAGAAACTGAAAATGTATATGTGGGGCATATTTAATATTTCTAACTAGAGTAAAGGAGGAGACTTTATACATACTCCGTCACTTAGGGATATGCAATTGATGTGAGAAAGAGAGGAGCCTCGGTAATTTTTCATGCCACCCAGGCATCTTTTTTTCCCTCAGGCTGATCCCAGAATTGCTGCCACCCTTTTTTCTGCCCTCTGCCTAAAGCTGGCCCTAAACCCATGACTCTCTTCCTGTGTGGACTGTGCTGTAGCTTGCTGAGGAAGGGCTGTACTGAGGTGTCAGAAGCCTCCTTGCAGTGCTGGTCCTTGGGTATTGTGTCTGTTGGTAGAAGTAACCAATGAATAAGCCACTGCCAGAACTGTTCCGCCTGCCCAGTTTTCGTGTGAATTTTCTAATGTAGCTTGCGTGCCAACGCCTTAATTTAAAAAAACAAAACAAAACACTTTGCCCAGAACTTTGTTTCTCACTCCTTTCCAAAATAGTCACCAGCTGTTGTTAACCACATGCCATCTGGGTGCCCAGGTAAGGAGAAAGCCCTCCAGTGTTCAATTAACTGTGGATTATTTTCTTTTCTTCGGCAGGAAAAGGAAAAAGAAAAAGATAAGATTAAGGAGAAGGAGAAAGATTCTAAAGACAAGGAGAAAGATAAGAAGACTGTCAACGGGCACACTTTCAGTTCCATTCCTGTTGTGGGTCCCATCAGCTGTAGCCAGTGTATGAAGCCCTTCACCAACAAAGATGCCTATACTTGTGCAAGTAAGAGACATGCTTCTTCCTCTCGTAAGATGGAACTCTCTTGGCTCAAGAAAGCTCATTTCTTGTTTCCTGTCCCCACTCATTATCTGTTCCTCATTTATGTGGAGAAGTAACCCTTTTTATATCTTTCTTTAGACATGATAAAAGAAAGAAATTCTAGATGTATAACATACAGCCTATATTTTTTTCAGACAGCCCCAATTTCAAATACAGTCAAGTTAAGATGGTTCAGCCTAGCTTTTTAACTTTACAGTGGTTCAAAAGCAATACACGTTCAGTAGAAACTGTACTTTGAGTGCTGGTACACTCATTTCGTTTTTCACATTTAGTGCAGTATTCAATAAATTACATGAGATAGTCAACACTTTATCATAAAACTGGCTTTGTGCTAGATAATTTTGGCCAACTATAGTCTAATGTAAGTGTTTTGAGCATGTTTAAGATAGGCCAGGCTAAACTATGATGTCCAGAAGGTTAGGTGTATTTAAATGCATTTTTGACTTAATAGTATTTTCAATTTACCATGGGTTTATGTGGATGTAGCCTCATTGAAAGGATGAGGAGCATCTGCACTCTGTTCTATGATCTCTAAACCACTGCACGTTTTAAAAGTCTGTGTCAGCATCAAAATTATCCATAACCCCAAACCCTAAAGCTACTCAGTGGTCTTCTGTTAGATCATATGTGCTCATTTTTATTCTATTACTTTGGTATATGCTTCAGCCATTACCAACATTAAGCCATAGTGACGGCCAAGGGAGAGCACCTCCGTGCTCAGGGACATTCTGTGCTGACCTGCTGAAAGCCAAGTCTGCTAACTGAGCATTGTTCCTGGTTTTGATAAGACACTCTCAGGCAGGAGTTGCTTAACTTTTTCTGTACAAGACCAGATAAAAAGTATCTTAGGCATCGTGACCCACATGGTCTCTGTCACAATTCTTGAACTCTGCAGTTGCAGTGCAAAAGCAGCCGTAAGCAATACATAAACCAATGAGTGTGATTCCAATAAAACTTCACTTATGGATACTGAAATTTGAATTTCATAAAATTTTTGTTATGTAATAGTTTTTTGATTTTTAAAAACTATTTAAAATGTAAAAATTATTCTTAGCTCATGGGCTATACAAAAATAGGCTTCAAGCCACATTTAGCCCACAGACCATAATTTGCACGTTTTTGCTGTAAGGCAGTGCATCTCAAAATTTTGTCAGTGCACAGATCAAAAGTAGTATTTGTAGAGCATACCAGGGTAAATCAAGGAGGCTGCTTCTGGTCAGAGGTGACAGTCTGGAGTTCCAGCCAGTCCAGGGCCAGTCCAGTCACCCGGAAGGCTGAGGTAATTAACATGATACTATATCTATAACCAATTCAGATGTTATAGTGACGAATTCAGATGTCAAGGAGCAACTCTCAGACCATGATGTCCTGAAATCTTGTTTTCAGTCATTTATGTTGGATATCCCAAGTAATTTCTTACTAAAAATAGTTAACTTACTGAAATCTGATTTTTTTTCTTTTTTTTTTTGAGACAGGGTCTCACTAGTTGCCCAGGCTAAGTCTTGACCTCCTGACATCAAGTGATCTTCTGGCTCAGCCAGCCTCCTGAGTAGCTGGTATTAGGCATGCACCACTGTGCCTGGTAGAAATTTGAAATGTTTAAAAGTGTATTTGGGCCAGGCGTGGTGGCTCACGACTATAATCATAGCACTTTGGGAGGCCGAGGTGAGCGGATCACCTGAAGTCAGAAATTCGAAACCAGCCTGGCCAACATGGCGAAACCCCGTCTCTACTAAAAATACAAAGTTAGCTGGGCTTTGTGACACGTGCCTGTAACCTCAACTACTCGGGAGGCTGAGGCAGGAGAATTGCTTGAACTTGGGAAGGGGAGGTTGCAGTGAGCTGAGATCGTGCCATTGCACTCCAGCCTGGGCAACAGAGTGAGACTCCATCTCAAAAAAACACACACAAAAAAACGTGTATTTGGACAGATTGGAAGTTACTTCTGTGATGATTTTCACTCACTTTCTTGCTTGGAAGAGGAGGAGTGGAGTTACAGCTAGCACACAGCCTGTCTAATCTGTGCTACAGTTCCTGTGACTTTTTGATATGACTGACTTTATGACACACATTCATGTAAAATGATTTTTATTGGATGTTACACCCCCAAAGTAGTCAGCAACACTATTTGTTTTACTGTCCTATTTTTTCAAAAGTAACCAAAAACCATGAGAGCTCTCACCCGAATCCTCATGCATCCCTGTGGGCAGAGATCACACACATTAATGTCATCCTTCATTTGTGACTTACCAGACCATTGAGAGCCACTACCACATAATAATAATTTCATGTAACCTCTAGGAAACAAGAGACTGTCACTGTTCAGTATTCCTCCAGTGTTTATTTTGGAACCCAGGTTCTAATAGGACTCTTCTGGGACACCAGTCGGAGGTCTATAGTTTAGTTTTTTAGCCATTGGACACAGTTAGCTTCTTAGTACTGGAATAACCTGGTTGCCTAGAGCAGTAATCACCAAGCATTTTATAGCATGTTCACCTATTATTAAAACATTTTTAGCATACTCACATAGGATACATACATAACATAAAAATTACATACAAGTCCTACTGTGCCATACTTTCCAAGAGCTCATTCTAAAAATAAGTCTCAGAATTGCCATTTTCTTGTTTTCTGGTTAGTTATTAGTATGATTAGTATTGTCTTTGATTCATGACTTCTTTGAAGGAATTTGTGTAACTCTCATCATTTTCATTTGATTTTAGTGGAAACCAGGTAATATAATCCATAAGCCCACTTTATTGGATACCTGTATGTTTCCATTCATCACAACATGCTGAAAGTAAACAAATGTGGATTATGCATGCCCAGCCCATCTCCTGAGTGAAGAATACCCCGCTCCCTTAAGAAACCTCTAGTGTCACATATAAAGTGAGGCTGCCTAACATAAAGACTGAGCGAGGCACCCACTTATCAATTAGACATTAACTCAATTTTTCTTCTACGTTAAGGAGTCATTTTAAATAAGAGCTGTAAAATCTTCCTCCTGTGTTCCAAGGGATTGTTTTTTACATCCCTCCTTGCAGTGTGCCAGTTCTTCTTTTGGAGAGCACTGATCTCAGAAAAACGGGAAGAGGCTGTATTTCTTGATTGGCAGTATGAAATTAATATTCAGGGAACTTCATCAGTAAAGCAGACTAGATACCTGCCTTCTGCTATAAAATATAAAATGCTAAATAAAATCTATTTTTTAAAAAATTAATACATAGCTGAACCTGCCAAATAGAAAATTCCTGAGGGAACTCAGAGCAGTAAAGAGCATGCCCCCTCATTTGGGGTCAAGATATGCGGCCTCAGGGTATGTAGTGGGAGCTGGGACTGAGACCCCTGTATAAGAAATGCTGTTTTAAGACTAACATCCATGATGAAGGGCCTTGGAAAATTCTACCCAGTGGCCTTCAGAAGCAGAAAGGAACCTTACAGTCTCCCCAGGTCCCTGAGTGAGAATTGATGAATCTGGAGTCCAAGTTTACACCGTCTGTATGTGCTAGAACTTCAGGCTAAGAAACTTTCACAAGAGGTTACATGAAATTCCAGTTTAGGAATGACAGATCCTTGAGGGACCCAGCCTGTAGCAGATGTAGAACTGCTCCATTGGGTTAGGTTGACAAATCAGTATACCCAAGGCTACGGCAGGAGGAATAAAATCCTATGAAGCCGAGCTCATGATAAAAGATACATAGATGCCACATAAGGAAGTAAACCACCATGAGGAAGAATTAGGGGATGTACAAGCAAGAGATGTTGAAAATCACTAAAAGGGGCCGGGCGCAGTGGCTCACGCCTGTAATCCCAGCACTTTGGGAGGCTGAGGTGGGTGGATCACAAGGTCAGGAGTTCAAGACCAGCCTGACCAACATGGTGAAACCCCGTCTCTACTAAAAATACAAAAATTAGCCAGGCTTGGTGGCGTGCGCCTGTAATCCCAGCTATTCAGTAGGCTGAGGCAGGAGAATCTCTTGAACCCGGGAGGCGGAGGTTGCAGTGAGCTGAGGTCGCGCCACTGCACTCCAGTCTGGGTGACATAGCGAGACTCCATCTCAAAAAAAGAAAGAAAATTACTAAAAGGATGAAACGAATAGAATCTATAATGGAAGAAAAAGACGTAACAACTAATGGGTAGATTTAAAAACAACTGAGTAAAATTTAAAGCATGGAAATAGTCATTGAAAGGTATTCATGGATTTTTTCAAATATTTCAGCATATTGTCCTGATTTATAATTGTTTATAAAGGAATAAGATGGCTTCTACTCTGTTGTCTGCATTAGTAAGGGGAGAGCTTCAGTCTAGAAAGTCTTAATGACTTCACACTGGATTTGTTTTTTACATTTAATCATAAATAATTGTACCCTTAAGTCCTTGATCTTATATGAAGTCAATCAACAAAGTTCATTTGACTGAATTCTGCAAGCTACTGTGTTTGATATGTGATTCATACAAAAGCAGTTTGTCAACAAATATTTATTGAATATCAATATGAGTCAGGCACCCACAGTGGCTTAAAAAAAGGAATTCTAAAATGATCCTTCGTACTTATTTATTGTGAACTTGTTTATATTCTGGAAAAATTGAAAGCAATTTAAATATCCATCCATAAAATATAGTATATTTTGTATAGTATATAGATGGATAGGCTGATAATAAAGAGAGAATATAAGGGCCAGGCACGGTGCCTCATGCCTGTAATCCCAGCACTTTAGGAGGCTGAGGCTGGCGGATCACTTGAGGTCAGGAGTTGGAAACCAGCTGGCCAATGCGGTGAAACCCCATCTCTACTAAAATACAAAAGTTAGTCGGGCATGGTGGCAGTGCCTGTAATCCCAGCTACTTGGGAGGCTGAGGCAGGAGAATTGCTTGAACTTGGGAGACAGAGGTTGCAGTGAGCCGAGATTGAGCCACTACACTCCAGTCTGGGTGACAGAGCAAGACTCTGTCTCCAAAAAAAAAAAAAAAAAGGAGAGAGAGAATATAGGACAGATCAGAGGTTGCCAAACTTTTTCTGCAAAGGAACCAATGGTATGTTAGGCTTTGCAGCCCATCAGGTCTTTGTCATGACTACTGGACTCTGTCCTTGTAGCACAAAAGCAACCATAGACGATGGATGTGACTGTGTTCCAATAAAAATTTATTTACAGGCCTGGCACGGTGGCTCATGCCTGTAATCCCAGCACTTTGGGAGGCCTAGGCAGGTAGATCACTTGAGGTCAGGAGTTTGAGACCAGCCTGGCCAACATGGTGAAACCCCGTCTCTACTAAAAATACAGAAATCAGCTGGGCATGGTGGTGCACGCCTGTAATCCCAGCTACTTGGGAGGCTGAGGCAGGAGAATCACTCGAACCCAGGAGGCAGAGGTTGCAGTGAGCCGAGATCGAGCCCCTGCACTCCAGCCTGGGAAACAGAGCGAGACCTTGTCTCAAAAAAAAAAAAAAAAAAAAAAAAAAATTTACAAATACAGGCTGTGGGCCTAATTCAGCCCAAGGACCATAGTGTGCCAAGCCCTGGGAGAGATTTGCAGGTGCAGACAGAGCTCTCCAAGACATTTTGATGAGTTGGAAAGTCAGTAAATAGAACAATATATACAGCATGATCCTAGTTTATGGAAAACAAACAGTTTATATAAATTTACAAAAATATGCCAGGGATGGTGGCTCACAGCTGTAATCCCTGCACTTTGGGAGGCTGAGACGGGCAGAACACCTGAGGTCAGGAGTTCAAGACCAGGCTGGGCAACATGGTGAAACCCCATCTCTACTAAAAAACAAAAAATTAGCTGGGCGTGGTGGTGCATGCCTGTAATCCCAGCTACTCAGGAGGCTGAGGCAGGAGAATCACTTGAACCCAGGAGGCAGAGGTTGCAGTGAGCCAAGATCACACCACCGCACTTTAGCGTGCGCAACAAGAGTGAAACTCTATCTCAAAAAAAAAAAAAATTCTTTTTACAAAAATATCTGAAAGGCTATACACCAAACTGTTAACAATCTGAAGAAAGAGAAATAAGGAGAAAAGGAGTTGAAGAGGACTCTTTATTTTATTCTTTTAGATTGTTTGAATTTTTAGAGAATGTACTTACATATTATTTGTATGTCTAAAAACAAAATGTAAATATTGGACCACTGATAGTTTCAAAGGTTTTTCTAGTTATTTATCAGCTGATCTCTGATGAAGGCACAAAATAAGTTGGTATTTGATTTGAGAATTTAATGGACAAAGCAGAATTACTACCAGAACAGAGTAAGCTTATAAGCCTTGAGGAGAGTTGTTCTACCACTGTTATTGATAGCACCAGCTTGAATCAGAAGTAGTATAGTTGATCTACCAACTCTCAGTTCTGGATTGTGATGTGAAACATTATCAGGAGATTTAAGGTTGAAAGTTATAGACAGTCTTTTTGAAGACCCAAAGAATCTTGTGCTATAGAGGACAATAGATTTAAGAACCGTTGGCTTATGGTTATAATGAGTGGCTGTACCTTTCCATGACTAGCTCCAGATAATTTTGCAATTTTAAGTTCAGGCTAAAAGAAGTTGTCTAATATATGCCAGTGTATATTTAGCCTTGTATTGCCATTGACTTGTGTATATACATTATTTCTAGGTTACAAATAGTTGAAATTTGCCCTCTTTGGCTATATTAAGTCTTTGTCTACATTAGACTATCACTCAGAATTAAACCTGTAACTGGCATATAATAAATTTATCAGATAGCAGAAATATTCAGTTAATGTAGGAGAATGCACAGGCATCCTAAGCCCATTTTTGCTTTCTTGATATGTCTTCCTGTTAAACATGATAGAAATTCTCTTTTACTGGACTCCCTGGATGATGAAGCACACATAGCTAGGACACCACAAGTTATTAGACTCCTTATGCTATCAGTGTCGTATGTGCTAGAACCGCCTCTGGAGAGCAAGATCTGGGTTACCTCTTGGAGACTTCCATTGCCCAACGATGCCAGAGGTACCCGTGGAGAATCACTTGTGTAGGGTTTGGTATTGACTGGGGAAAACTGTAGGAAAGGTTTGAGGGTCTGAGATTCTCAGCCACACTTCTGTGTAGTAATTAGTTTAATGGATAGGGCGGTAGCTTTCAGGATGTCAGGTGTTTGGAAGCTCCACAGATTTCTGAATTTGTGTATATTTAAAACTACATAAAAACGTACCTTCTTAAAGGTATAATTCCCAAATTTTAACATCAACATATCAGCTTTAGCTATCAGCCTACCTATTCATTTGTATTTTTCCTTCCATCTCTAATTAATTGAAGATTATACTGTGATTGCAAGGCAAGCCATTAAAAAAAAACTGCTAATATTGGTTATTTATCTACATGAAGAACGTTAAGATGTTCTCTGTGTCATGTACTCAAAATTAAATAAAGAAATTAGAGGTTGTGGTAGGTAAGTGAATTGCGAATGTCATGCACCTCTGACCTCACGTTTTTAGTTCATCACAGCTGCTTCATTGTTCTCATTAACTTTGAAAGTAAATATTAAAATTGCAACTCAAAATAAATCTGTACTGTTTTACATATCTGAACACAGTATATTAATATTTCATATAAGACTTTTTAGAGTTTTTCTAGTATTTTGGAAAACCAGTGAAATAGTGGATTGGCTACTGGTTCTGTGCTAATAGTGTTTATAAGTGGAATGGGACTTTTTTTAATATGAAGTCACCCAAGGAATTTGCTTTTTCTGGAGGCACGTTATTTCATGAAGTCCAGTGTGTTATCACTAGACTAAAGTCTTTTCTGTTTGGGAAGTCTGTCGGTGGGGACAGGGGTCATAATAACCTTTGCTAGTTGTTCTTTGATTTTTGGTAATGGCTTGATCTAATCAAATATCAGAGATTATCTTAGTTCTACCTGCTCAGCAAAAACCAGGAAAAAGAGTTAACATATTTGAGGGGTTTTTTTTGTTTTTTGTTTGTTTGAGACGGCGTCTCACTCTGTCACCTAGGCTGGAGTACAGTGGCGCAATCTCGGCTCACTGCAACCTCCTCCTCCCAGGTTCAAGCGATTCTTCTGCCTCAGTCTCCCAAGTAGCTGGGACTACAGGAACACGCCACCACACCTGGCTAATTTTTTTTTGTATTTTTATTAGAGTTGGGGTTTCACCATATTGGCCAGGCTGGTCTTGAACTCCTGACTCAGGTGATCCACCCTCCTCAGGCTCCCAAAGTGTTGGGATTACAGGCGTGAGCCACCATGCCTGGCTATATTTGAGGTTTAAACTGAAAAGTATCAGACAGCAAAAAGGAATAGTTTAAGTTGGGCTTGACTGTTACCCTAATATGCACTAAGTTTCAAAAATACATTCTTTAATTTGCATACCACCCTACTCCAGAAGTAATGTAGAAATAGTCTCAACATCTGGTGATAGCATTAAGGTTTATGTAAGACAGTCTGCAGCCTGCCTCTTATAAAAAGAAGGGGGTAGGCCAGGCACGGTGGCTCACGCCTGTAATCCCAGCACTTTAGGAGGGCAAGGCAGGTGGATCACGAGATCAGGCGTTCAAGACCAGCCTGACCAACATGGTGAAACCCCGTCTCTACTAAAAATACAAAAAATTAGCTGGGCATGATGGTGGGCGCTTGTAATCCCCAGCTACTTGGGAGGCTGAGGCAGGAGAACTGCTCGAACCCGGGAGGCGGAGGTTACAGTCAGCCAAAGATCGCGCCATTGCACTTCAGCCTGGGTGACAGAGCAAGACTCACACACACACACACACACACACACACACACAAAAGGAGTGAAAAGGATTGAAAGCAACAAAATAGTATGTAGTCATCTTCTCAAAGGAACCAAAGTAATGGGCTGATTATCTTCAGCTTCCTGAAGAAGCTGAATGTTTGTATGTAGGAAGTCCCATGTGTTATCTTGGCAGGAAGTAGAAAATATGAGTAATTTGGGGACGCAGAATCTTTCGTCACTTCCCTCCATCGCGTCTCATGTCCAGGATCTTCCCAGGAGTCGTAGGAAATGTAGCATCCATGCAGTTAGTCGTTTACCTCCTAGGAAACCTTTGTGCTCTTAGGAGACAGTGGCTTCCCATTGTGGTTAAGTGTAACCCTGTTTGGCTGACCCCTGGATAGAGCTTCATACCCTCAGCACTGCATAGTCACCTTTGACTTGTGGTTAGAAAGATCAGCCATATAGTCCATCATGATGATATGTTATGATGGTTTATACAAGAAACTGGGACTTTTTATCTCAGCCAAAACGCTACTCTTGCTTTAGGATTAGGTGACTTTAACAGGGTTAATAGAGGAATGTCTTTTCAACTCTTATTTCTCTATTATGTAAAGCTGTCCTTGAATAGTCAGCTGTTCTTTCCAGCTGCCACAAATAATTTGTTCTTTGAAAAGCTTAGTGACTTAGTGGGGTCTTTCAGAATAAGGAATTTGTTATGTTCAGGTTTTGGGGTCTTGCCAGTGGTTCTGTTTTGCTTGCTTTAAACAGATGTAAAATGATACTGAGATTATTGCTGATTTATTTTCTGTTGTGCTAGCAGCATTTCAGTACTTTTGTGGTAGGTTGTTTCTTTTACATAAAAAATAAACAAGTAAACCAGCTGCAATCTAAGTAGGAAACATAAGAATTTAGAATGTGTGTGATGGTTAGATTTTACTTCTGATTTCATCAGAAAAGTTGCCCTCTAGACAGTTTTCTGGCATTTATAGTTCATTGCTTATATGAGAGAATAAAATACATATAGTTGATTAAAGGAAGGAAGTTTATTACTTAGGGAAAAGGAAGGTAAAAAAAGACCCTAAGCAATAAAGGCAATTCTTTTTTAAGCAGAATACTTTCATTTTATTTCATTTTTGTTTACCAGTGTTGTTACGAAAACTGCTGCTGGGGCTACTTCAGCTGAGATGATTTGGCTCTTTTTTGTGGCTTTCTTCTTGTTCTGTACATCAGCACTGTGGTTATTACACCAGCTACCAAGAACATCTCACATGCCTTTTGCATATAAGCACTCTTAGTCCAGATAGGGCGATGTCTCAAATCCCCCAAAGATTTTATTTATTGGCCAGGTGCCGTGGCTCACGCCTGTGATCCCAGCACTTTGGAAGGCTGAGGCGGGTGGATCACCTGAGGTTAGGAGTTTGAGACCAGCCTGGCCAACATGGCGAAATACCATCTCCACTAAAAATACAAAAAATTAGTCAGGCGTAGTGGCATGGACCGGTAATCCCAGCTACTCAGGAGGCTGAGACAGCAGAATCACCTGAACCCAGGAGGCAGAGGTTGCAGTGAGCCAAGATCGTACCACTGCACTCCAGCTTGGGTGACAGAGCAAGACTCCATCTCAAAAAAAAAAAATATATATATATATATATACACACACATATATTTAATAATTTTTTTTTGAGAGACAGGGTCTCTGTTAAAGATTTTAAACAAGAAGTTTAAAGTTGCAGAAAGAATTTTGTAGCATGCATTTCTAAATTTGCTCATATTTAACTGTTTTTTGTTTTATTTTCATTTTCTTGGTTAGAGTTGAAATGATAGGAGAAAGTTGTGCATTTCTATCCTTAAAGGTAATTCCTCAACTTGTGTCCTGGAGAAGAATCAGGTCATTTTTCCCAGTTAGATTTTGCTGCTCACATCTGTAGGCAGAACAGTCAGAAGTCTTCAGCCTATTCCCAAGTGATGATCAATGAACTGAAGTACTGGAAGACCTTTTTTGTCAGAGCCTTGGCTGCATATGACTCAGCTCCCAAAGGTGGCTCGTTTCTGTGTAGGCAGTCCTTTGATATTCTGTCATTTCATTTCAGTTTGGCATGGCCACTCCTCTTATCATTGTATAAAGTTGATTTTCTTAAGTTAGCCTCGCTAATGGTTTGTTTTATTTTTCTTCCGAAAGATAAAAAACACATAGTATATAACCATTCGCCAAAGATCTGTGGTGGTTGGTGGCATGGGTTAAAAAAAAGATACAGCAATAGATAGATGATAGTTTCCAGTCATGTGGGTTTAACTTCATTTTCTTTGGTTTGATGCCTCCTTGTAGCAAAGAAAGAAGTTGAAGGCTGGACTGTTTGTTTTAGGTACAGAGGAATCCGATTAGGGATCAGCTCTGTTCCCATAAACCACTGTGCTGAGACCTTTTTGAAGAATTTTAAAAAATGAAAGCATATTGCCTACTGCTATTAGGAAATCTATCAAATAAATAAATAAAAGGCCAGATAATTATTTTCTGATCTTCATAACAACATGGTATGGTTTGTGGCAGAGAGCTTAAAAATGTATTAGATTTGTCTTCAATTCTTGTGTTCTTGGTAATTTTCTGTTTTCCCAAACAGAGAGTAAGATTTTAGTCTCATGACTTTGGCTGATGTCAGTGGGGCTGAAGTTTCTAAATCACCCACGCACAGCTCTAAAACTGTCACTGTGAATTGAGTCCAGGACAACTTGGAAACAAGTTGAGTGTTTTTCAAGTAGGTACTTCAGCATGTTAAGGAGATGTCCATGCAAACTATCACTAAGAGAAAACTCATGACCATAATATAGAGCGTGTTAAACTTCCAGCTGGGTTGTGGGTTTGGGGACATGTTTCAATTAATTAAAAGTGAATTTATGTGAAAAGTTCTTTACTAGAAGCACATTTTAAATGATTTTTTTCTGCTTCTATGTTCATCTCAGACACTCAAACACTGGCCTGAGAGTTTGAATATTGCTGAAACCTTTTTACGTGATAGTGCCACTCCCTTAAAAATCATCATTGCTTAAATCTCTGTAGGGTGTTGGAACTGGTTGGGAAGAAAGGAACAGAAAGAACAGAACTTGGAAACAAATTCTGCCCATAGTGTTCTTGGTCACTTTTGCAGATCAGAATTAGTAGCTGGTTCTCCAGCAAATCTGCCACCTCCTGTGTTGCCCTTAGGTGCCTAAAATATTATAGATTTTCAATAAAACAAAAGAAAAAAAATATACTTTTTTAACTGGATTATAAGACAATAAAATCTTATCTTTAAGTTATCACAAGATGCGATAAATGGATTATGCAAAAGGATATGGAAATGTTTATAAGCAAATCCAAGGAACTTTGAACGACATTAGAGTGTGATGATTTTTTAAAAATTAAAAATTTTTTTTAATTTTGAAAAATGTTAATACAAAGTATTATACATAGGTAATTTATCACATATGTGTCCATGATTCAGAATGAACACATAGTAACATTCTGTCAGACGGCTTCAGATTGTTTCACTTTTTAAGAAACCATTATGGTTAAGTTCAGATTCCCCTTTGTTTCCCTGCCCCATGCATCTTCCTTCCTCCCCAAGGACAAGGACTGTCATGAATTCAGTGCATTCGTAGTCTGTGTTTTATAATTTATTTTCATACATAAACAACATATAATTTGTTTTTGTTTTTAACCTACATAAATACTACCATACAGTACCTCTTTTTGTAATTTGCTTTATTCTCTTCAGCATTATATATTGAGGATTCAGCACGCTGAAAAACATAGATCTACTAATCATTGACTTTGCCTTTTCATAGTCTTTTTATACTTTTTCTGTAGAAGGGAAAGAGAAATGGACTTAAAGATGATGTATTTGAAAGACTTTAGCTGAGTGGGGATTTGTGAAGAGAAAGGGTTTGAGTGGGGTGGGCTTTCAAGTCTGTGCATGGGAAGGATATGATGGATCAACTAATGGGAGAGGAAGAAACCAGAAAGGAGCATGCCAGCTGCAAGTCCTGGGCATCTCTGTGGCAGAGGAGGGGAGGTGCACCATACACCCTGAGTAAGAATAGTGCTCGTGAGGATGGGCAGAAACATGTTTTGGCTTACTAGAAAATAAATAAAGCCGTTTGCCTCGACCACTTTGTTATGCTTCTTGCTGTGGGTCCAGCAGCCTGAAACTCACTTACCCATCTGATAGAATCACAGCAGAGGGAACCTGGGGGAAAATGTGATTCCTCCTTTTTAATTTTATAGATGAGGAAACGGAGGCCTGTCAAGAAGGGACTAGGGTCATACTAGTACATACATACATGCAGAGCCAGGACCTACGTCAAATTTAGTTTGACAGCTGTTTGTCCTTTTGTGTTACTAAATTGATGTTTGACATACTGTAATCAAGGCTGTGTCAGCGCATTCATCTAATTTTAGTTTAAATAGGCATAGTAGGGCCGAGAGAGGAGCATTTGAATAGGATGCATGAGCTAGGCACTATGCTGGAGAGTCTTAATTTGAAGATTCAGCAGTGGGTGAATGGTCCCTGCCCCAGAGAGGGGATAGAGAAAAACCTAAGAGAGTCTCAATACACTGTGCCAGTGGTATTAAGGAGGAGACCTGTGAACCAAGTGGGTGTTAAAGGAAGTGTTACAAAAGGCATGGAATAGGCCTTTGAGGTCTGGGATTCTAGCAGTCTCCTTTCTGGTTTCCTTCCCTCCCCATCATCACTCCAGTCCCCCACAAATCCATGTGTCTGGGCTAAAAGAGATGTTGGCCCAAAAGAGATGTTGGCCCTTAACTGGTGAGTTGATGTAGACAGGACCTGTGATGCTTCCTGAATCAGTCTGTGAGGCATTGCCTAGTGAATGGTATCTGTGGTTGATTTCCTGAGTGAGCCCTTCCCATGAGAGTGTCTCCTCGAGTGTCCCCACAGGCCGATCTTTCATTTGTTTCTGCTTTACCTCTGGCTTCCTGGAACAGTTCTGTTATGTGACTTTATAGCAGCGCTGAGAGCTGATGGTAAGCCTTCTGAGACACAGAGGCTTGGGTTTTTACGTCAGTGGCCCTTGTAGGCCAAGGGAGTGAAAAGTAAAGGAATTGAGATAAAATGCTGTCCTTGCCAAATTGTGGTTTCTGCTTTATCTTTCAAGAAGTCTCCATTTTCTCTTAAGTCACAGTTCCCAGAGGTGCATGTGGGGGTTCCAGTGACCTTTCATGTGTGGTTCCTGTCTCAGAGAATGGGGTGCAAAAAGCCCAGCGTAGTTAAGCTTTTCAGATTTTATATTCTGTGCTTTATTACAGTCATACAAATTTTGTAACCCCTGTTAGGGGCTTTATTAATGTATTTATTTGTAATTTAGACTTACACATTGATGGCAGACACTTTCACTTTTAGTTTTGGTAGCCTCTCAGCTTCCTGTCTGAAAAGTTCCAGACTTACTAGTTTTTGTTGATTAGAAATCACATCTGTTGCTTCCTAAGGGCCAGGAAACTCACCCTTCCCATCAGATCACTTGAGTCGTTGTTCCTCTCATTAAGCTGTAATCTGTCTCCTGGTCTCCAAATAAAGACACAAACACCGAAAAAAAAAAAATCACATCTGCTCGTGTTTTTCCTCCTCCAAATAACATCACAGACCTGCTTCCTAGAAGAGGACTGCAGTGTGTAATTTCAGTCACATTCTCACATGTGAGTGACTTCACTTTGAAATTCAGAGGCCACTTGTGGCAGCAGTGGAAACTCAGAATCTGGGATCTGTTTGCTTTGTCCATGTGACCTTGGGTTTGCTTTCTTTTCAGATTGCAGTGCTTTTGTCCACAAAGGCTGCCGAGAAAGTCTAGCCTCCTGTGCAAAGGTCAAAATGAAGGTAAGACTTTCTGGCTAAAACAAGGCTTAAAATAAAAGGGTTTAAACCAGCAAAATCCTCGGGAGTTGGGAGAGTTGAGGTTGTGGTGGATTTTGTTTATTTTAATCATTTGGTACCAACTTTGAGAACAAATTATAACTAAAAAATATTTTTTCTCTTAAGCGATCAATCTTCTTCTTGAGTAACACTGGAGAATTAGACTTTCAGAAAAGAAAACGCTTTCAGAACTTCTTCACGTTCAATATACATTTCTTCGTGATTTTAATATTTCCGTATTGCTCTTAAAGTGGTTTTCTTCTTAACTACGTCTGCAGGCCTACCCTGCTGTTCATACACCTGTCTTCCTCCTTCAGGACTATCAGGGCAGCAGGTGGAGGTCAGGGGCATTGACCTGCTGGTGGGGGTGGGGAGGGTGTTATGGTTAGCCCCAGCCTGTCTGGTAGCACTTTTCTCCTCAGGTATGTAATATAGGTGGCTCTGATCACATGACGTAAGAATAGAAAGTGCCTGTTTTATGGTGGTATCTGCCCTGAGCATGTATGCTATGTAATCATGCTTTCCCAGTGGCCCTTAAAAAAAAGTGTGGGTTAAGGGCCATACCTTTTAGGTAGCCTGTGAGGTTTTCAATGTTCTAGTCGCCTGTAAGTGTCTCTTCATTCCTTGTCAAAGGAGTGCTTTCCAACTTCGTCGACACAGATGATTAATGAGCTGTGTGCTTCGTCAGTCACCAAACACAGTTATCTAGTGCCATGACCTCAACCTGGAATGTGCATCAGAATCAACTCGAGGGCTTATTGAAAGACAACTTACTGAGCCCCACTCCCAGAGTCTCAGATTCTGGGGGAGAGTCCAGGAATTTGCATTTCTAGTAAGTTCCCAGATGATGCTGATAGTCCGAGGACCTTACTTTGAGAAGCACTAAAACTAGTGTCAAAATGGCAAAGAATAGGATAGCCAGATCTTCTTTAGCCTATGGACACATATTTTGTTTGGCTCATGTAGTATTTTTAAAATGTGAGTTAGTGCAGCTCTTTCAAAATCATGTTTTATATCAGTTTGGATTCTTAAGTTCTCCTGAAAAAACTGGAAGATTTATAACCCTTGGCTCCCTGATATTTCCCTGTACCCAGCACTCCCAGTTTTTCCTTTTTTCCATAGTACTTATCACCTTCTTAGAGTCTGTATTTACCCATCTTTATTTATTATTATATAGTTTTTTATAGTCTGTATCTTCCCCCCACTAGAATATAAGCTCCAAACTCATTAAGCAGGCTGAGGGCAGGAGTTGGCTCCATCAGTGGCGCCTGAGCACCTCACAGGGAGGGAGGGATGGCTGGAGCTGAGTGGTGCTGCCTCCTTTAGACAGGATATGCCAGTTCCAGGCTGCCACTGCCTTCCCACACCCCACCCCACCCCAGCTTGCTTCTGTCATTTGTTGCCTGCCGGCACCATAGTCATTTGAGTTTGTGATCTCTGATAAGACTCAATTGTTGTGAATGTACTAGTTTATACAGAATGATCATGATAGAGACATAGCATCTCCCATATAAGAGAATATAACCTAAAAGGGGGAATTTTATTTTATTTTATTTTATTTTATTTTATTTTATTTTATTTTAGAGACAGAGTCTCACTGTGTCACCCAGGCTGGAGTGCAATGGCACAGTCTTGGCTCACTGCAACCTCCATGTCCCAGGTTCAAGCAATTCTCTTGCCTCAGCCTCCCAAGTAGCTGAGATTACAGGTGCCCGTCACCATGCCCAGCTAATTTTTATATTTTTAGTTGAGACAGGGTTTCGCCATGTTGGCTGGGCTGGTATCAAACTCCTGACCTGAGGTGATCCACCCACCTCAGCCTCCCAAAGTGCTGGGATTACAGGTGTGAGTCACCGCACCCTGCCTGGAATTTCATTTTAAATAGGAAGTAACCTATTTCTTCTAATGATTTATCTCAGATTAATCGCTTCAGTGTATAATCTCTCAAAGTATTTTTGCTACATGGCTACAACGAAAGTATTAACTAAAATTAGTATTTTACCCAATAATTTAGCACCTTATAAATGCTAGTTACTGGAAATGAAATGCAAAAGTCAAAAGATGCTGCCCTTAAGGCACCAGCAATCTACTGGGGAAGACGGACAGTTACTATAAATGAGAAAGGTGCCAGTCACTGCCTTGGGTGAGGAGAGGAGAGAAGCTATAGATGGCTTTACCAAGGAGGCAACCCTTAAATCGTCTTAAAGGGGAAGAATGCCATGCTTCTGAAGGTGAGAAAAGCATTCCAGGCAGGATAGACAGCATCTACGGCATTGGAGTACGTGGCAGGCTTAGAGGATGGCAATTGGGGGCGACCGTGGCTGGGACACAGGGTGCTTAGGGCAGTGCAAAAAGCAGAGTGGGAAAGGAAGCTGAACTGCTTGCTCCCTTCCTACTCGGCTTCTCAGGGCTTGTCAGAGGTGAATTGTCAATGGACTTACTTTCTTTCTCTTTAGCAGCCCAAAGGGAGCCTTCAGGCACATGACACATCATCACTGCCCACGGTCATTATGAGAAACAAGCGTAAGTAGCTCAGCCCACCTCTCAATTCCCTTTCTGACTTTCTGGTTCTGAATGTAAAAATGCTGTTGTAATATTCAGTTATTATTCATAGTCAAGATATGAATACCTATTTTGTGGTAAGTGAGAGAAGGCTGCTGTTTTATCCTGCAGATTCCTTTACCCATATAACATTATACCATCAAACCCTCTTGGAAGGTCTCTAAAACAGTCTGTGTATTAGCTTAAAGGCAGCACCTTTGCCCTGTGTGTTTAAGCAAGTGACCCCTGCGCATCTCAACTTCCTCTTTAATAGTAGTTGAGAATTAAAAGACTTGTTTTTAGTGCCTTACAATCATACAAATCAAATGAGATCTGGCTTGTTAAACTTTTTTTTTTTTATTATTTTTTTGAGACGGAGTCTCTCTCTGTCGCCCAGGCTGGAGTACAATAGCACAATCTCGGCTCACTGCAACCTCCACCTCCCTGGTTCAAGCGATTCTCCTGCCTCAGCCTCCCCAATAGCTGGGATTACAGGCACGCACCACCATGCCCGGCCTAAACTTCTTTCTAAACTGAGAAGTTATAGAAAATAGTTCTTTTTTTTTATTATTTCTAAGGACCTCAAATGTTATTCAGAATTGAGTAAATCACACTCTTCCATTCACATCAAACCATTTTCACCAGTGCATAGAAGACTCCACTTTGGTTTTACTGATACTTTTCCCTTTTCACTCCCCATTCCCTGTCTCATTCCTACTTTAGTATATTTAATGTATGTCCTTCTAATCTGCCATATTTTTAGACATATGTATACTTTGAAAAAAATGTATTATTTTGTGTGAATTTAAATTAGATAATATGACTTATGCTTATATGTTCTGCTTATTTTTTTCACTCAATATTGTTTTGAGATATGCATGTTATTGTACGCTATTGTTTCAGACTATGGCATGGTATTCTTTCATAAGCATATTTCACATTTAAAGTTCCCCTAGAGACAGAATATTTACTTTGCTTCCAGCTACTACCATAAATAATGCAATGATTAATATCTTCTTAGCTGGCTCCATGGGAGCCTCTGTGAGACTTTTCCCAGGCAGTGTTCTTGAAAATGTAGTTTTTTAGAAGTAAAGATTCTTGGGCCCCACCCTGATCTGTGAATCACAAACCGTGGGATGGGACCAGCATTCTGTGTTTTTTTGTGGTGTGTGGGAGTGTGTTTAATAGAGACAGGGTCTTGCTTTGTCACCCAGGCTGGAGTGCAGTGGTGTGATCATAGCTCACTGTAACCTCAAACTCCTGGGCTCAAGAAATCCCCTCACCTCAGATTCCTGAGTTGCTGGCACTCCAGGTGTGCGCCGCTATGCCTGGCTGATTTTTTAATTTTTTTGTAGAGACGGGGTCTCACTACGTTGCCCAGGCTCGTCTCAAACTCCTGGCCTCAAGCAGTCCTCATGCCTTGGCCTCCCAAAGTGCTGAGATAACAGGCATGAGCCACCGCACCCAGCCTGGTCTGTGTTTTAATAGATCCTCCAGGTGATTCTGATGCCCACTCAAGCTTGAAAACCGCTCCTTTATGCCCAGTTTCTCTGAGTACTTCCAGATAGCTCCTGAATGGCTATACTAGTCTACACTCCCAGAAGAGAGTGATTCCCTTTAGATATATTTAATCTGGTTTTTATCCATCTTCACACGTAGATGACTAGAAGAGGAGCTTCTCCAGGTTGATACCCACTTTTAGTCTGTGATCTTACCCATTCCACATACTTTTTATGTCTAGCTTCCTAAAATGCTTTTTTTCTTGTGACATTATCTGTTGTTTCAGAAGTCTGTTTTCTTTCTTATTTTCATGTCTTTCTTAAAAACAAATGCCTATTATGTGCAAGGTTCATGAGTATTACCTTTGATCCCCACAAGTATTTTTTTTTTTTTCCTTGAGACAAGAGTCTTACTCTGTCACCCAGGCTGGAGTGCAGTGGCACAATCTCCACTCACTGCAACATCCGCCTTCTGGGTTCAAGCAGTTCTCCTGCCTCAGCCTCCCAAGTAGCTGGGATTACAGGTGTGAGCCACCACACCCAGCTAATTTTTGTATTTTTACTAGAGATAGGGTTTCACCATGTTGGCTAGGCTGGTGTCGAATTTTTGACCTCAAGGCATCTGTCTGTCTTGGCCTCCCAAAGTGCTGGGATTATAGGCGTGAACCACTGTACCTGGCCCTCCCACAAATATTCTTATTCCTGTTGTACTCCACTGAGGCAACATAGTGGTGTAGAGTACAGATTGTGAATTCTAATTGTATGGATTCAAGTCTGACACCACTGCTTAAGAGCTGTGTAACTGGACATTACCAAACCTCTCTGTGCCTCATTTTCTTCCTCTGTAAAAGGGGACGATAATAGTATCATAGGGTGGTAGTCAGGTTTAAATCAGATCATACCTATAAAGTACTTAGCAGTAAACATTCCTTAAGTGTTAGCTTTCACTGCTATGATCATCACAAATAAGGAAACAGCAATATTGAGTCACTTACTTGGGTAGAATATGGATTGGTTACAAATAAGGAAAGCTGTTATTTTCTTCCCCCCTATGCTGGCTTTTAGATACAAGTTATTATGAGCTCTGCCTAACATCATTCTGCTTTTCCAGCCCTTTCACTGATTCCTTCTACCTGCTTCATCTTCTACTCTGTGTCTCCCTTTTACATTAATACTACATAATTACTTCTGCCTTCATTCCATGGTTCTTCTCATCAGAATTGTCCTCTCTTTTTTCTTCTGACCCATCCACATCCTTGCAATTCTTCAAGAACTAGTGTTTTCTTCCTCCATCAGATTTTATCCGCTCAGTGACCTCCCTTCAGAAACATTCAGGTTATGCTCCAGGCCCTTTAACTCTTAAGCTCATTCTCTTTTCTACCCACTTGCTCTTTTTCTCTTGGGTGGGGGTGGGGGTGGGGGCAGAGGGGTAGGGCCACATCCCATAATCCTTGTGTACTTTCTGCAGCTAGAATCTGGTCAGGTTTTAGAATGTCGGGTTTCTGCTATTTTATTGTGTCATCATCTTGTAAATAGAATTTGAATTGGAAATTAATGATTATATTAATGCTCATTGAGTCAAAGACATCCTGAAATACTGTGAAGTCATAACTACCACCCCAGTCTTATTTCCTTCACCTCTTGACACTCCTGGGGATGGACAGATAATGCAACCTGTGAATGGGACAGCAAGTCCATTACCAGGGAAAAATGTTCCCAAGTGCCAGCGTGACCACTTTAGCAAATTAGATCTCCAGTTTCCTCTTTAGTCATGTTAATGAGAAATATGCACTATGAGAACAATTTAGAATTGACCCTTGAATAACTCGGATGATAGGTGTGCCAGCCCCACCCCCATGCAGTCAAAAATCCACATAAAACTTTTTGACTCCCCCAGAACTTACCTACTAATAGCCTACTGTTGACCAGAAGCCTTACCAATAACATAAACAGTCAATTAATGCATTTTGTTTGTTATGTGTATTATATACTGTATTCTTACAATAAATTAAGCCAAAGGAAAAAATGTTATTTTAAAAATCATAAGGAAGAGAAAATATATTTACTGTTTGTTAAGTGGAAGTAGATCATCATAAAGGTCTTCATCCTTGTCGTTTTCACATTGAGTAGACCAAGAAGGAAGAGGAAGAAAAGAAGGGTTGGTCTTGCTGTCTCAAGGGTGGCAGAGGCAGAAGAAATTCCACATATAAGGGGATCTATGTAGTTCAAACCCATGTTGTTCAGGGGTCATCTGTAGTTACAGGTGTTAAACAAGTGTTAAATTTTCCTCATCTGTAAATTAAAGGAAATCATCAAAATCTATGCTCGCTAGCAGGGAGCGCAGAAGAATCACTTGAGCCTGTAAGATATGTAGACTCTTGGGTTCCACCCCTAGAAGACAAGGGGGGCTGAGATTCCATATCTAACAGGCACTCCAGATGTCTTCATGGTGAACGGTCCTAAAGAACGCTGCTCCCAGTTATCTCTCAGGTTCCTTTTACCCTTAAAATTCTTTCAATCTTGGGGCCAGGTGCAGTGGCTCACGCCTGTAATCCCAGCACTTTGGGAGGCCGAGGCGGGCAGATCATGAGGTCAGGAGTTTGAGACCAGTCTGGCCAACGTAGTGAAACCCCGTCTCTATTAAAAATACAAAAATTAGCCAGGCATGGTGGCGGGTGCCTGTAATCCCAGCTACTCGGGAGGCTGCGGCAGGAGAATGGCATGAACCCAGGAGGCGGAGCTTGCAGTGAGCCAAGATCGCGCCACTGCACTCCAGCCTGGGCGACAGAACAAGACTGCATTTCAAAAAAAAAAGAAATTCTTTCAATCTTATTTGCAGCTTAAATATTAAAATATGTAATACTCCCACAGGATTCTTTATCCCCGTTGCCTGTCCCACCCCAGAGGTAACCACTCTTCTTAGTTTTTTTTGTTTATTTTCCTGGAGTTCGCTTGTTAAAGTAAATACAACTTGGATTATTTTTCTTTCTTTTAAGCATGAAAGATAGCCTGTTATATACTTTGTTCTGCACTTTGATTTTCCTCCCCTTAATAGATCTTGGAGATAGATCTATCTGTGTCAGTACTTGGAAAGTGTCCTTATTTTTTGTAAGTGGCATTGTATTCTGCTGTGTGGTGTAGTATAACTTATTCACCAGTCTTCTTGTGATACTCATGTCATTTTCAGTCTTTTGCTTTTACCAATGGTGTTGCATTGAATAACTTTGGACATAACATCATTTCACGAATATGCAGGTATATCTTGTAAAATAAACATAGCCTAAAAGTGAAATTGCTGGATCGAAGAATATAGGCATTTACAATTTCAATAGTTATCACCAAACTATCCTCCATGGAGTTTTTATACAAACTTACAGTTCCAGGGCAAATCCACTGTAAAGCGCCTTACTTCTGCTTGTTATTTGTCAGATGGGTCAGTACCAGGTGGAGCTGGATGGGTGATGCTTCAGTTAGTGTCCTCTCCTCCATGGAGTTTTTATATAAACTTACAGTTCCAGGGCAAATCCACTGTAAAGCGCCTTACTTCTGCTTGTTATTTGTCAGATGGGTCAGTACCAGGTGGAGCTGGATGGGTGATGCTTCAGTTAGTGTCCTCCTTTTGCAGCCTCACAGCCCAAGGAGCGTCCTCGGTCCGCAGTCCTCCTGGTGGATGAAACCGCTACCACCCCAATATTTGCCAATAGACGATCCCAGCAGAGTGTCTCGCTCTCCAAAAGTGTCTCCATACAGAACATTACTGGGTAAGTGGAGATATTTAAAGATAGCACAGTTGGCATCTAGGTGACCAGAGCATAATAATCACATCATATGACAAAAAGCTTTTTTTTTTTTTTAAGAAATAAATCTATAAGGTCATGGGTTGGTGCAGACAAGGACGATGGGGATTATGTTTCTGATGCATGTCATGATGGTCATTCTGTCGCAAGGATCTCCTTTAAATACCCTTAGCAGGCTGGTTGCTGTAGGCTTTTTGTATATCATCAGCCCTACTTTTGAAGAATCTGAGTTCTAAAAAGATGATTTTTTAGATCAAAATAAGTAGGAATAGGAAAAAGGGTGATTTAATTCAGAATTTTGGGTTGCAACCACTTACAGATGTCATGCTTTTCTGTTGTTCAAGTAAACCTGGTTGTTTTGTTTCTTCTTACCTCTGTTTTACATCTTTGCCTTTTAACACTTAAGTCAGTTTCATGGAGGTGAGTGCTGAGCCAATTATTACTATTAGGTTCTCACTCACTCGTTTGCACTGAGTTTCTTTTCTGGTCTCCTGGCCAGGCCTTGGCTGTCAAGTGGTTAGCAGGGGGCTGATAATGATGTTGCTGACTATTTTGGGTAAGATGCCTGCCTTCCCGTCGGGTGAATAAGCCATTTCAAATGTAGGACTCAGAGTATCTCTTTAACCTATCTTGGAGCAAAATTCCTAACTAAAGGATGCAAAAGTCTCCTTTTGTTTGTAATTCCTAACCTCTGTGCTGGCTAATGTTTTCTCCTCCTCTAAAAAGTTTCAGGTATTTTTGTTTTGTTTTGTTTTGTTTTGTCTTTGTATTCTCATTATTTCCAAAAGTGTACTTTTCAAAAGTTGTAACATTACTAAAGTTTGTATGCATTGTAACTTTCAAAAGTTGGTCTTTAAAGTGTTCTTGCTATTGTGTCTACTCACACATCAATTGGGTGCCTGCTGTGCTAGCTGGTGAGTTGGGATTGAGAAAGTCCAAAGAGAACATAGTTGATTGTAAGTGCTAGATCTGTAGTTATCTAGAGAACAGAAAAAACAGTGTATTGGTTAGGCAATAAGTTTTAAACAGAAAGTTTCTTATATAATGTGTACATGGTTTGATGGAAGAAAGTTCCCCTTGCTTCTTATCACTTTCTTTAAAAAGGCTCAAAAAGTCCTCAGAATTTGAGTCTCCAGTGATACTAAATGCTCCCGACTTTGTTACCAGGCCATGTGCATGTTGCTGTGGCCCCGACATAAGCAATTTGTCTTCAGTCACTGTAGTACTTCCAGCCAGTTGTCATTCTAGAGTCTTCAGGTACTCATTTAAGAATGCAAGCCATAGGTTATCAGAATGTATTTGACAGTATGTATTTTTCTTTTGTCCCCAGAGTTGGCAATGATGAGAACATGTCAAACACCTGGAAATTCCTGTCTCATTCAACAGACTCACTAAATAAAATCAGCAAGGTCAATGAGTCAACAGAATCACTTACTGATGAGGGTAAGAGGAAGTTATGGCCTTTATTTTATGCCTCTGTAGGGACTGTGTGTGTGTCATTACCTAGAACATAAGTCTTAATGGAGTGACAGTACCTGCCTCTTCTGTATCCCGTGAAGATTCTCTAAATTGTCAGTAAAGTGTCCAGTGCTTTGTCATGACTGCGTAATCAGACTCATCCAGCAGCTGTCAAGTGAAGGATGTCATTTATTTCGATGTGGGCCTACTCTTTAGTACAAATCTTTTCCTTCCCTTAGACTTTTTTACATGTACAGTTCTAGCTCACAGAGCAATTGTAAGCCTGCTCTCTTAAATATGAAAAGGTACCAGGTCCCTTCCAATTCTTAACTTCGTGTAGATAGAAGTCATGTCTTAATCATGTTTGATTTATGTCATGTTTATTACTGTTAACCTAAGTCTCGAATGTAGAGTCTGTCACTCCTGAACAGGATATTGATTTTTTTCTGGTACTAGAATATGATCTCTGTGAATATCCCCTGTATTCATGTGTCTTATGAAATCAACTATCATCTTGAGGAAAGTCCAACATAGGCTTATTTTACAGGTCACAAACCTGATTCTGATATTGATTTTTTGATATATTGAGGAGTAGGTACAGACATGAATGAAGGACAACTACTGGGAGACTTTGAGATTGAGTCCAAACAGCTGGAAGCAGAGTCTTGGAGTCGGATAATAGACAGCAAGTTTCTAAAACAGCAAAAGAAAGATGTGGTCAAACGGCAAGAAGTAATATATGGTGAGAGTCTTCATTTTGCTCTGATTATATTTGATTTCCATTGTCCAGCATTTTTAAGCAGTAATTTGTTGGACTATGAAAAATCAGTTTTTTAGTATGTGGCTTCTTGAAAAGATTTCCTTTAAAAACTTTAAGGTACAGAGACGTGGTCCTGTTGGTATCCTATCTCCTTTTTGCCCCACTCTTCTGTTTTCAGTTCTACTGAACATTGTACTTATATGTGAGTACTTATTTATACAGCAGTCCTAGAAAGAGATATCTCAGTTTTTTTCCTTACCTACACTAAAAACTAGACTAAACACAAGTCATTTCTGAGAACTGGGTATACAGTCAGTTACGACAGGTGCTGAATCCAGTGAAGACCTCTTTGGAAGTCATAATTTAAGACTGATGGAATCCGGGGTACCTATTATCAGAAAATAGGACACGTGAAAAATAGAGGAATAAGACGAAAACACTTGACCAGGCTCAGCGGCTCATACCTGTAATCCCAGCACTCTGGGAGGCTGAGGCGGGTGGATCACTCGAGCCCAGAGTTCAAGACTAGCCTGGGAACATAGTGAAACCCCATTTCTATAAAAAATACAAAAATCAGCCAGGCGTGATGGCATGTACCTGCAGCCCCAGCTGCTCGAGAGGCTAAAGCAGAAAGATCGCTTGAGCCCAGGAGGTTGAGGCTGCAATGAGCCATGACTTCAGCCTGCACTTCAGCCTGGGTGACAGAGCCAGAACCTGTCTTAAAAAAAAAACAAAAAAACAAAAAAACGAGAACACTTTTAGGGGAAAGATAGCTGTTGACCCAATTTTAAGGTTCAAATTGGGCTCTAAACTAGCTTTGGGACTGCAGCAGATGATCTTTGAGGGCGAATGCTTATAAAAGAGTGTTCCTGACACTTGATCTTTTTCCTCCTTTTAGAGTTGATGCAGACAGAGTTTCATCATGTCCGCACTCTCAAGATCATGAGTGGTGTGTACAGCCAGGGGATGATGGCGGATCTGCTTTTTGAGCAGCAGATGGTAGAAAAGCTGTTCCCCTGTTTGGATGAGCTGATCAGTATCCATAGCCAATTCTTCCAGAGGATTCTGGAGCGGAAGAAGGAGTCTCTGGTGGATAAAAGTGAAAAGAACTTTCTCATCAAGAGGATAGGGGATGTGCTTGTAAATCAGGTGAGAATGGGAAGGATCTCAGGTTCTTACATACACTGGGAAAAAGGGAAGTCATGGGGTTCCACAGCCATGCATTCACATCTTCTTTCTACCATTTATTATCTGTGTAAGCTCAGGGAACTTATTTAATTTCTCTGGAGCCTTGATTTCCTTTTCTGTAAAATGCAGACAGTAGGGTTTCTCTCCTAATGTTATTTTGGAAAGTTAAAGGGAGGGTATATATAAAGTACCTAATGCATATGATAGATGCTCAGTAAAACTTAGTTTTTCTTCCTCAGAGTCTGTGCCATCATCAGAAACAGTATAGTTTAAGAAATCAATTAATATGGCCAGGCACAGTGGCTCATGCCTGTAATCCCAGCACTTTGGGAGATGAGGAGGGCGGATCACTTGAGGTCAGGAGTTCAAGACCAGCCTGGCCAACATGATAAAACCCTGTCTCTACTAAAAATACAAAAATTAGCCAGGCGTGGTGGCATATGGGAGACTGAGATATAAGAATCGCTTGAACCTGGGAGGCAGAAGTTGCAGTGAGCCGAGCTCATGCCACTGCACTCCAGCCTGGGAGACAGAGTGATACTCTGTCTCAAAAAAAAAAAAATTGAAAATTATTTAAATATTTGGGGCTGGGCACACTGGCTCACACCTGTAATCCCAACAGTTCGGGAGGCTGAGGCGGATGGATTGCTTGAAGCCAGGTGTTCAAGACTAGCCTGGCAACGTACCAAGAGCTGTCTCTACAAAAAAAAGTGAAAAAATGAGCCAGGTGTGGTAGTGCACACTTGTGGTCCCAACCACTCAGGAGCCCGAGGTGGGAGGATCACTTGAGCCTAGGAGTTCAAAGTTGCAGCGAGCCATGGTGATGCTCGTGCCACTGTACTCCAGCCTGGGCGAGAGAGTGAGAGACCCCAGCTCAACATTTAAAAACAAACTCTGTGTGTGTGTGTGTGTGTGTGTGTGTGTGTTGGAAATCTTCAACTTTCCCCTCTGCCTCAAATCAGAAGGATCTCATGTGTCTAAAAACCAGCTGAAGCACAGAAAGTTGAATAAGTGACTATCTGTAAAATGCTTAATAAAATATGTATTGTTGATACTTTCATCAAGGTGTGGTATGGTTTTAGTCATACTCCAAAAAATTCAGCTAAAATTACTTTGGTACTTGTAGATGTGATTGTCATAGACAGATTTTAATGTTTCTTTTTAAAATATTCTTCTTGAAAAACACATTGCCAGTATAACCTTTACAGGCAGAGGGGTATATAACATGTACATCTGACTAGGTATTTCCCCAAAGATGCAGATTCCCCAAAGATGCAAATTCCCCAAAGATTTTGGGCAAATATCTGCTGCTGTGTAGAAGCAGAGGCTTAATTGTTGGAACATTTGTCTGAGAATTGTAAATTTTGTCTTTCCTTTGTGTTCTTGAGCCCATACCCCTCACTTCATTAATTTATTAGCACATTCACTCATTCATTTTTCAGGTATTTACTGAGCATCTATTAAATGCCAGGTAGAACTACAAAGGGGGATATGGCTTAGGCCTCTGCCTCAGGGAACTCCTAGGAGTAAAAGTAAGCATGTTATGAAATAAATGCAAATGCAGTGCGGTAAATGAACACAGATAGCTGCAACAGATAGAGCTCAAAATTAAGACCTACAAGTGATGACTTTTCCTCCTGAAACATCCCCTTGGGCATTTCCATTTCTCTCTCTCTGCCCCTCCTCTCTGGTTTCATCTAACTTTTACTTTCTCTAACTTAGTACTTCATCAAACTTTGACTTGTATTACCATTTGTACCTCCTTGTACTTGTGTACAACCCCTAGTAAGATCTTTGGTGCTAGAATTCACAGTTTAACTCATAGTATCCGTTTGCTCGTTCTGTGTGCCAGTGGTAGGATCAACCTTTGGGGCATTTGCTTTGTCATATGAGCAGATAACTTACCGTCCCTCTGTCTCAGCTCCTCCATTGGTAAATGGTGAAGTGAAAATCTACCCTGATCCTTCTTTCCAGTTTTTTGGTAAGGATCAATTTGTGTTGCCTCTGGAGGTTTGTAGTACATGGAAATCAATAATTAGCATGTATTTTATGAACTGCATACAGAAATTCATTGATTTAGTGCAAAGTGAACATACCTTTAGAGGAATCATTGAGATTGCACACATTTGGGAATGATTTAAGGGCCTCATAGAATTATTAGGACTGCTGGCCTGAAGTAAGTAGTACAAACAGATACCTAGGTATGATGGCTGTTTGTCATGTCTGTCTAACTTATCAAGGTCAGATATTTAAGATTGTCTCATGAAAAACTCCTAGTGAATCTCATTGTTTTATTACTCTGTTTATGACAAATAGAAGTTAGAATACATTTTGCATTTTCCGTGTGCACAGTACATAAAGTTTCTTTAATTTTTTGTTGTTTTTCAAATCTGTATAACAGCTTTATTGAGATTTAATCCATATGCCATATAGTCTACCCATTTAAAGTTGAACCTCTTGAGTAACTGCCAGACTGCTTTCCAAAGCTGCTGCACCATTTCATTCTTTTGGGAGAATTTATGAGGAAGCGCTCTTGACTTTTACAACTAGACTGGAAACATTTTACAAAATGGTATTATGAGTTTGGCGCCCCATGGCATAACTTCTGTTCTCTTTTCTCTGCAGTTTTCAGGTGAGAATGCAGAACGTTTAAAGAAGACATATGGCAAGTTTTGTGGGCAACATAACCAGTCTGTAAACTACTTCAAAGACCTTTATGCCAAGGATAAGCGTTTTCAAGCCTTTGTAAAGGTATTGATAAGAAACATGAAAATCCCCGTTATTGTTGAGAGCCATGTGTCCCTGTCGGCTTTCACTAGAGCCTTTTTCATGTGATTCCTCACAGTCTGTTTACTCCCTTGCAGAAGAAGATGAGCAGTTCAGTTGTTAGAAGGCTTGGAATTCCAGAGTGCATATTGCTTGTAACTCAGCGGATTACCAAGTACCCAGTTTTATTCCAAAGAATATTGCAGTGTACCAAAGGTAAGTCTCCTTTCTAACTCGGTCTTGTATGGTCATGGACTGTTTCCTCTGTGGCCAGTAGTACTGGAAGCCCCATGGAAGTGCTATTTCATGCTTTAGTATGTCTAAAAGAGACCTTGTGTTTTATCTTGAATTTTGTTGAATGAAAATTTGGACTGTTATGTTACCAGACTTAGGATAGATGATAGCAAGAAGGAAAGGGAACACATTGATTCCATCCAGAGTTCAATGACCTGAACAGTATTCTGTTATCACTAGGCTGGGAGATAATTTCCACTAGTTATTCCCAGAAGTGCTAGAATTGCTGCTGTTTTTCACTTAATCAGTAATTACTGGTTTCTCTCTCTTGGCTAATTCTGTTCCTAGGTAGTTATTTTAAAGATTACAAGGCAGTACATTAAAAATTAAGTAAAACAAATAAAAAAAAAAAAACTTGGTTGCTCTTCCTGCTATTACTGTCCCTCCTAGAAGTCTTTAGTTCCTTTTATTTCAGAGCACAACATATGATTGCATATTATTTATATCATTGAAAACTTCTGACTTTTTTTAGAATCAAACTTATGACAGCAAGAAGGATAGGCACATGATCTCTGACGTGTTGGCTTCCCTCTGATAGCATAGTCACAAAGGGAAAAGATGATATGGAGTGAGAAGTCAGGATTCCCTTGCTTCTGCCCTTGTCCAAAAAGAGCCATAAAAAACAGAATTATTCTTTCCTTCCAAGACAATGAAGTGGAGCAGGAAGATCTAGCACAGTCCTTGAGCCTGGTGAAGGATGTGATTGGAGCTGTAGACAGCAAAGTGGCAAGTTATGAAAAGAAAGTGCGTCTCAATGAGATTTATACAAAGACAGATAGCAAGTCAATCATGAGGATGAAGAGTGGTCAGATGTTTGCCAAGGAAGATTTGAAACGGAAGAAGCTTGTACGTGATGGGAGTGTGTTTCTGAAGAATGCAGCAGGAAGGTTGAAAGGTAAGGCTTGGCTCTTTTGTCTTAAGTATGTGCCCAGGTAAAACAGGCAAAAATCCAAGTGCTTTTGTTGGAAATTCACTACCAGATTTTTTTCCCAGAGAGCCCATCTCTAAACACTACCCAGGAGCAACAAGCATTTAGTTCTTCGTAATCTTATATCAAAAATGGTTTGTGATGGCCTGCAAAATCATACAAAATAGAGGAAGAAGACAAAGAAATGATGCAGTCAGGGAAAATGGAAAATAAGGTTTTAAAAAAACAAAGCAAAGCGTAAGATTGGTGCACATATGCAAGCTGTCAAGGAAGGTGTATTCCCCTATAAGAGATGGACAGCCAGGTTGGAATTGGGATCTGTGGCAAAACTCACAAGGAGGGAGACACAGTCAGCGAGTTTCACAGAATCTGTGAGTTCAAAACACATCACTTGTTCACAAGAGATGTTAGAGGAGTTTGCAGCTCCAGACACCTAATAGAAAGTTAAGTTTAACCCACATCAATTAGATTTTTTTATTGTTATAATTTATGATATTCGTATATCTTTAAAGCAAAATAAATCATAAAGGATGCCCATTTTCCATTTGGTTTTAATTTTTACATTTCTAATAGTCAGCCGTATCAAGTTAAAGAAGCTATGAGGCTTGTTTTTTAATTTATGTGTACATTTGATTTTTTTTGTTTGTTTTCATCAAACCTATACTCCATGGGCCTATATGTTACACCAATAGCCTTGAATTATACCCACCCCGTCGCCCTGGCCTCAGTGAGCTGAGGACATTGAAGCAGGGTAGGCCAGTACTGTCAGCCTCACTGGCATAGAAAGAAGGTGGAGGAAATGGGTGCTGCTTTCATTTCTGAGGTATAAGTGATGATGTAGATAACTGCTATAGGAAATGCCCACGCATAGAACAAATGGTAAAGAAGTTCCAGGCAGTCAGCTGGTTTCAACAATGAATAAAGCAGGACACCCTGCTTAGAAGTTGAAATCAAAATGAAGAGCCTTGGAAAGAGATACCTGCTCTACAGTGTGGTGAGTGCTGGAATGGAGGAGAAAGCAAGAGGAATAGCAATAGAGTCAAGTCTTGAAGGATGACGGCACATAAGGAGAAAGTGTTCCCCACACTAAGGAAGAGAAAGTGGAAGCACAGAGTTGAAAGGGTGTGGCACATCCAGGGAAGAGTGGACACCCGGGACTCTCACGTGAGAGAGCAGAGTGAATGACAGGGGAGTGACGGGAAACCAGCCCAAAGAAACGGGAGGGGCCAGGTTGTAATGAGGTGCATTCTCCAGACTGAGGAGTTAACAGTTGATACTATTGATGAGGGAAGGGGGCAAAGAATGGGTTCAAAAACGAGAACGGCAAGCAGGAGAGGGATACATGAGGTGGTTTTTCAGTATGACAACTAGGGGCAGTTTAGAGTGCAGCTGGAGTGAAGAGAGACTGGTGACAGATAAGAGACTGTGCAGTGCTTTGGGGAAGAGCTCATCTGGGCCTGCATTGTAGCAGAAGGCATAAAAAAGAAGGGCAGAAAAGATTCAGAGAAAGAAATCTCCTTTCCCACCACCAGCTGGCTGTGTATTTCATGGTTCTGTGATAAACTTAAACTAAGGCTCCTTCCCTCCAGTCTTAATATTCCATGATGTTCTGAGAGCCCTAGCTCTCTTTGAGACTTTTACGCTGTCTGGCAGTTCAGAAATACCTGCCCCTTCTTGTAAAGGCCTGAATTTCCTAGAGCTGCTGTTGCCTGGATCCAGCGCTTTATTCTTTCCTTTACATAGCAATTTATTTATTCCCAAAATAAAAACTAGTAGATTCCAGCTGTTGCAATAAAGTTGTGGTCAAGCCAGCGGCAGAACGATAGGTTTTCTGGCCTAGAATGCCTCCTGTAGAGATAGGAGTTGGTGTTTAGTCATTTTCACCCCCAAGTGAATTCATGCCAAGAACAGCCAGTACTATGTTGGGTACTCTTTGAAAGGGGTGGGATTGTTTTTCTCTGATCCACTGACACTGATCATATAAACTTCAAGATTCAATGAAGTTAAAATGTGTGTCTCTGCTTTTTTGGGGGGAGGGGGAGGGTGCAGGCACCTGAATTATTTAAAAGTAAACTTTAAAAAAAAAACTTTTTCATAACTGATGGCAGTACACAGAAAATTGCAGTAGTTTAGCCTAAAAAAATTAGACCTCCCTAGGAATCAGATGTCCTTGCTTCTGTTTTCTTCATAGCTTTGCAGTGAATTCCACAGAAAGGGGATTTCAGTTGCGGCAGAGGTAGAAGAAAAGGTGGGGCATGGACTGCATAAATCAGTTCCATCCTTTCCCAGGGAATTGTGGACTTCACTTTCCACAGTGAAGATGTTACATAGGGGCCAACCTGCTAGCTCGAGATAGACTCAACTCCAGAGACATCAAACCATCCTCAGGAGACTAGTGGAAAATGTTACTACCTACTCCTAGAGGATTAGTCAGAGCTAGAGTTTAAGCTGACTATTGCATATGGAGCTGAGGAAAGAGCCCTATATTCACATGTACCTGTAAGACTGGAAGGCGCCTGCCTGTGTGGCCACTCTTTGTTCTTTTGAGGGCATGGAAGACGTCTTTTCATTAGACTTAGATATTTCTATACTTCATCTTTGGGCAGCATTCCTGTCTCCTGCCCCACACCTTTCCCATTACTGTAATTAGAAGTCGAAAAATATTGCAATCTGAGTATTTTTTGGAGTATCCTGCTATGTGTTGCTGTTTAACATCTGTACAAGTCCAGCTTTTCAGCTTTATTCTTAAAAGTATTTTATTCTTAAAATCTTGTCTTATGGGATATATCTTTCTAGGACTGAGTACTTAAACTTTTCCAAAACAAGGCTTTGGTGATAAATCCCATTTTAAAATGCTGCTAAAAATCTGGTGACCAGATCTGAATCCTGGAGAACTGTAAAACTGTTGCTTTGGAGGAGTGTGATCTCAGATCATAGTTTGCCCGTATAGGGGTGTATGTGTTGCTGAAACACCCTTCAATAAAAAACCTTCTGACTGTGGGTAACTATTAAGTAGTCATCGTTTTATCTTCCCTTCTCCCATTTCCATTTTCCAGAGGTTCAAGCAGTTCTTCTCACTGACATTTTAGTTTTCCTTCAAGAAAAAGACCAGAAGTACATCTTTGCATCATTGGTAAGCTGAATTGTTATTTTTGTAATAGTATTATAAGCAGCTAGTTTAGTTATGGAATGTAAGCACTATGTTATTGCTCTCCCCCGCCCTCTTAAAATTAAATGGCTCAGGACAAATTCCTCTGAGTAATTTCCCACATGCCCTCAGAATTTTCTGGCATCCCCTCTTCCCAAAAAATTATTATTCTGTTTCATCACAGTCTTCTTTTAGTGTCTTGGACATCTGACTATTTGATCTATGAAGAAACCTGGTCACTGGAGCATTTCTCACATTTGAGCCCATAAATGGTGCTCATGTATAATATTGCTGACTGGATTCTTTGGGGAACCTGGAAAGATTCATCGTGTGGAAAACATGACTGGAACCTTTAGAGCCATAAATTACTATTTCCCTTTTGAAATCTTTTTTTGTTAAAATCTGAATGAAATAAGGAGATACTTCTCTTTATCCTAAAGTAGCCCTTGTTTTTCAAACTATGTGCTTTTTTAACAGCATCTGGTCTTACCTTAGATTGAAGCTGTCCTTCAGAGTTAGAATATTGTATATGTATCTTTTATTTGCCCTCTTCCCTTTTTCCAGGACCAGAAGTCAACAGTGATCTCTTTAAAGAAGCTGATTGTGAGAGAAGTGGCACATGAGGAGAAAGGTTTATTCCTGATCAGCATGGGGATGACAGATCCAGAGATGGTAGAAGTCCATGCCAGCTCCAAAGAGGAACGAAACAGCTGGATTCAGATCATTCAGGACACAATCAACACCCTGTAAGTTAACCACCAGGCCCCACCCTTCCCAGCCCTCCTGATGTCTCTGTGTGATTTCATAACAGGCTGGACTGTGACCAGAGTAATTGACATCTTAGGAATTTTTTGTTCTGTCTTGTTTGGGTTGTATTAGGAACAGAGATGAAGATGAAGGAATTCCTAGTGAGAATGAGGAAGAAAAGAAAATGTTGGACACCAGAGCCCGAGAATTAAAAGGTGAGGCATTGCGAGTGGTCTGAGCCCCTTGTCTGGAATGTCTGCAGTTGCAGAAGACTGCTGGTGGATTTTAGAGGTACGGGTTTGCCCTCAGTTCTAAAGCTGCCCCAGCAGGCACTTGAAAGCAGCAAAATGAATAGCTGTTAACAAAAGAGAAACCAAGGCCAGGCTGACATGGGTCCTCGTAAAGAATGGCTGCAAGGATGTTTCCAGTACTGGATCAAGAGAATATTGATTCTCTTGACTCAGGATCCGTGTTCTCAAACCTCATGACATTCTCTGTACTTTGTCACAGGCGAATTTGCCAAAATTTGTAGTCACATCTAAGATTAAAACAAGGAGAGAAAGGAATTTGGGGAAAAGAATTCTCCAGTTAATCTGATTTAATCCTCCCCCAGTCCCTAGCGTTATCACTTATCCGCATGTTTACAAATGAGTTGTGAGGTGAAGTTTTGGGAGCAGGGTATGTATCAATCTATGTTTGACCCTTATTTATTGAGTGCTGACTGTTTTGTGTAGTCTTGTCAGTATCCCTGCAACACAGGCATTCTAATCCCCATTGTGCCGATGAGACAGTCGAGGCCCACAGAGGACAAGCTACCCAGGGTTAACGTGTGTAGTTAGTGGGTAAGCCAGAATTCTATTCCCTGTCTTAGCAAAGCCTGGTACTCACGTATGTAGTTAGTGGCTAAGCCAGAATTCTATTCCCTGTCTTAGCAAAGCCTGTTGCTCTTTTCTCTTTGCCAGTGGCTTATCGAATGTTTCAAAGTAAAGACTATGCTTTGGATAGAAATAAGGCTTAGAGTTAAATAAATGTAAGCACCTAAGGAGTTTGGTTAGGCCTTAAAGCCATACAGATGATAGCATTCTGTCTCACTGAGGGGGAAATTAAAAATATGGACAGCTTTAGACCAGAGCCAGAGTTATAGCAAATTTATTGGCCCATGATTAGGATGACAAGGATAAAAATCTTCCTTCTTTAAATTTTGTCAAGTACCTGGCTAGGCATACTGCTAGGTACAACAGATGCAAAGATTCCTTAAAAAGAGCCCTTGCCCTTGAGAAGCTCACACCCTAGCAGGGGAGACATACATCAATGATGGGCCACACAGTGATTTATTAGACCACAGGCACAATTAGCATGTGTGGGATCTGCTCATCCTGCCTCTAGTAAGTCTCACAGAGAAGCTGGTGCATGAGCTACATCTGAAAAAAATTATCTCAGCACACAAGAGTGGTTATGTGCAAAGGTGAAAAAGGACTTGACATGTCTGCCAAGGAATGACAGGTTCGGTGTGTCTGGAGGGTCAGGGCTAAGGGATGGGATCTTAAGCTGGAAATGCACCAGGTATTAAAAGGCAACAAGGGACTCATGTAATTAAAAAAAAAAATTTTTTTTTTTAACATGTTGAAGATAGTTAGGAGAGTTGCTTGAGGGAATGGGAAGCCACTGGAAGTACAAAGACCATTTGGAAGACTGTTAGGATAGGTTAAGTGAGAATGAGCTGGAGAAGGAAGAGATGTAAGAAATAAGGTCATTAAAATCTGATCAGTTGGCCAGGCTCGGTGGCTCATGCCTGTAATCCCAGCACTTTGGGAGGCCACGGCGGGCGGATCACAAGGTCAGGAGTTCGAGACCAGCCTGACCAACATGGTGAAACCCCATCTCTACTAAAAATACAAAAATTAGCTGGGCGTGGTGGCACGTGCCTGTAATCCCAGCTACTTAGGAGGCTGAGGCAGGAGAATCGCTTGAACCCGGGAGGCAGAGGGAGGTAGAGGTTTCAGTGAGCCGAGGTAGCACCACTGCACTTCACTTCAGCCTGGGTGGCTGAACAAGACTCTGTCTCAAAAAAAAAGAGTCTGGTCGGTTGGTGGTAGGACAGAGTAAGGAGACAGAGTCTCTCACAGGTTTCCAAATCAGGTGACCTGGAAGATGAAGAGTTGTTGACTGAGAAAGAGATTCCACACTAAAGGGAGGAGGTAGTGGGCTGGAGAAAAGATTGGTTTCTCACGTGCTGAGAACAAGGCATCTCAGTAGAGGTGGCCACGTGGGCGCCATGGTCTGCTGCTAAGAAAGGGGAGGGTTTTTGATGGTTTAATGAATTATCAGCATATAGAAGGTCATTGAAGCCATGGGGATGAATGAGATCCTCAAGAGGAAAGTGGGTAAGGTAAAGAAGACAGCTCAGGCCAGGTGCGGTGGCTCACACCTGTAATCCCAGCACTTTGGGAGGCCAAGGCGGGCAGATCACCCAAGGTCTGGAGTTCGAGACCAGCCTGGCCAACATGGTGAAACACCATCTCTACTAAAAATACAAAATTAGCCAGGCGTGGTGGCACATGCCTGTAATCCCAGCTCCTTAGGAGGCTGAGGCAGGAGAATCGCTTAATCACTTGAACCCAGGAGGTGGAGGTTACGGTGAGCCAAGAGTGCACCATTGCACTCCAGTCTGGGCAATAGGAGCGAAACTTTCCGTCTCAAAAAACAAAAACAAAAACAAAAAAAAAAGAAGACAGCTCAGGATGGAGCTGAGACAGGAGCCCAGATAAGAGATTCCATTGCAGATGGCAGATCTGTAAAGTGTCCTGAGAAAGAATGGTAGGAAGAGAACTGGTGTCCTAAAAGCTAAAGAAGGAAACATGTTTTAAAGGAAGAAGTAATCATCAATGCTGGAAAAAACAACCTAAAAGACCTCATTGGATTCAGTCATGAAGTTGAGCTGGGAAAGCAGTTGCAGAGTGGACAGAAGCTAGAGAGTAGTGGGCTGAGAAGTAAACAGGGGACACGGGAGTGGAAGCAAAGTGCAGACTTGTTATGTCACAATTTCCATGGTTTGCCAGAAAGATCCAGAATGGTTTTCCAGATAGAAATCACAGAACAGAAACAATATTGCTGTCTTGATGAAAAAGAAAAGGCAGTGTGGGTGGGGAGGGTGTCCTGTCTTGTCACTTTCCATAAATTACCACAAGGTGGTGCTCGTGTCTTAGTCATTCTCGTAATTACTAAACACCAATCAAATCACAGATCATTTTCTCCTTCCTGCAGAACAACTTCACCAGAAGGACCAAAAAATCCTACTCTTGTTGGAAGAGAAGGAGATGATTTTCCGGGACATGGCTGAGTGCAGCACCCCTCTCCCAGAGGATTGCTCCCCAACACATAGCCCTAGAGTTCTCTTCCGCTCCAACACAGAAGAGGCTCTCAAAGGAGGACCTTTAATGAAAAGTGCAATAAATGAGGGTAATTAACATTCAGCATTGCCCCCTCTTCATCTACTCCCAGAGTGGTTTACACACTAATATTACCTGCCAGTTTTTACTTTTTTACTTTAAAGCACAAATGCAGAAAATTACCCAAAACAAATATTTCACTATAGTAAATTATCAGGTGAATATCCTTTTAACCACTACTCACATCAAGAACTTAAAGGGGCCCTGAAGCCCCTTCCTCCACATGCTCTGTCCCCATCACACCTCCCTCCCTCCAAAAGGAGCAGTTATTCTGACTGTTTTTTAATTAGTCACTTATGCTTTTTTTTTTTTTTTTTTTTTTTTGGCAGGATCTTGCTGCTCTGTTTCCCAGGCTGGAGTGCAGTGGTGCAACCTCGGCTCACTGCAACCTCCCCCTCCTGGGTTCAAGTGATTCTCTTGTCTCAGCCACCCAAGTAGCTTGGGACTACAGATGTGCACCACCACACCCAGCTAATTTTTGTATTTTTCACAGATACAGGGTTTCACCATGTTGGCCAAGCTGGTCTCAAACTCCTGACCTCAAGTTATCCACCCACCTTGGCCTCTCAAAGGGCTGATATTATAGGCGTGAGCCACTGCACCCGGCCATTAATCACTTACTTATATATCTTTATGGCTTAAGTGCCTACTCCTAGACATTATAGTTTAATTTGCTTATGTTTTTTGATATGCATCTTAAAATTCTTAATTTACAGTTCCCCCCACCATCTTTTTTTTTCCATATAATTTATCTTTGAACAATCTGAGCTTTTTGACTTAGAGAGTTTCCCACAGTTTGGATTTTATTCATACAGTCCTGTTGTCTGTTTCCTTCAGATTTGCAGCTGGATTCAGAGGCGTAATTAATTACTCAGACTTGATCTCTTTGGTAAATTGTGCCCTTATAGTGTTGTGTTCTTTCATTGAGGAGGCATAAATATCTAGTTGTCTCTTTTTTTGTGACATATAAGAAAAGATAAAAGGATAAATTCTTGATTATTTTTCCCCTCCATTTATTTACCAGTTTTTAAGACCATGAACATCTTCTGAAAGTGACCCATAGTTTTTATTATGGACTCATGAATTGAAACATGTTTGATGGGGCCAGGCACGGTGGCTCATTTCTATAATCCCAGCATTTTGGGAGGCCGAGGCAAGTGGATCACCTGAGGGTCAGGAGTTCAAGACCAGCGTGGCCCACATGGTGCAACCCTATCCCTACTAAAAATACAAAAATTAGCCAGGTGTGGTGACATGCGGCTGTAGTCCCAGCTCCTCAGGAGGCTGAGGCAGGAGAATCGCTTGAACCCAGGAAGCAGAGGTTGTAGTGAGCTGAGATCGTATCACTGCCCTCCAGATTGGGCAACAGAGCGAGACTATCTCAAAAAAAAAAAAAAAAAACGTTTGATGGATTTCAAGTCATTGCAATTCCTAACCTTATTAAAAGCTCAGAATGTTCCTTTTGTGAACACCTCTTTCTTTGGCTTCTAGTCCTGTGGACGTGACCATAGTAGTCTTTTAGAGCTACTGGTATAGTAAGTTGTTCCAGGCTCATCTTAATTGTTTTCTGCCCCAGTCCTGGTATCAGCCATTTCTCCAAGAGTTCTGGATTCTTTAAGTGGGAAATTATATTTTCAGACCACAGTCTGGGTACTGGGAGTGGTCATTGCTGCTAGGTTGATTGTTACTAGGTTGGGCCTTTTCAGTGGACAGAGCTTGGGGAAAAACATATATATAACATTATATATATATTATATAACATAATATAACATTATATGTTTTACATCATATATAATTTAAATACCTATTGAACATAAAATGTGTATATGAAAATTTATATTTACACTTTCGAATTCACATTGATATTCTTAAACTGTGGACTACAGTGTTTGTTTTTTTAACTAAACCTATTTAGTATTACATCTCTATTTCCTTTCTTTCACATTGCAAATCCTTGTTCTTAAGGATACATCATAGAATTCGAATATTATATATTTACTTTCTGGCTTTATCCAACCTATTACTCATAACTGTTAGTAATACTAATAGTATTACTAATTACTATTGCTAATACTGTTAGTAATACTAATAGTATTACTATTACTATTAACTAATACTAATTTACTAATTACTATTGCTAATACTGTTAGTAATACTAATAGTATTACTAACACTATTTTGATAATAATATATTCTAATAGTAATGCTGCTACCACTACATATGACTTTTACTTGCTGTCCGCATTCTCCCGTTTTTGAAAAAATAGTTGTGCTGTGTCTACGCTGTCAGTTTATAACTGTTACATGCCATATGCTCTCCTTGTAAGCCTTGACCATAGTCTTTGTTCTGTAAGTGAACATACTTCATGCTTACCAGAAGTTCTTAGGTCAGTCACCCTCTAGTCATGTGGATATGTGAAGCTGATTCTCTAGCATGTGCCTCAGGAAAGGTTCATGAGAGTAATAGTCCATGAGCTCTTTCATGCTGGTAATAATTTATGCCCTTTATACTTGAAAGCCTATTTTGCTGAATATAAAATTATTGGCTTGTTCATATTTTCTTCCCCAAGGTATTAATTACTCTCAAGTATGTTGTTTTATTTTTTTTTCTGGCATAAAGTATTGCCATCAGAGACTGATAATAATTTGATTTTCCCCATGTAAGTAACATGCTCTTTGCCTAGATGCCCAAAGGATTTTTTTCTAAGTACAAGTAGTTTTACAAGAATATTCCTTGGTATTTGTTACCCTAGGTTGATGCTGTCAGGTTCACAGTGTTCTGTTTTCATATGTGGTTTCAAATTTTTCAGATTTCAGGAAGTTATTTTTGAATTATAATTTGTACTATTTTCCCTGTTCCCTTTGCTTTGGTCTTCTTCAAGGTCTCCATTTATCCTTATGTTGGACCTTCTTTGTCTATCTTCAGTGTTGGTCACTTTCTTTTAATACTTTTGATCTCTTCATCTTTTTAATGTTTAAATGGTCTTCCTTTCACCTTCTTTTTTATTAAGCCATTTTCTGCTGGGTTAATTTGCTCTTATATTCTAGTTTAGTTTTGATTTCTATAATGATTGTTTTTCTTTTGTTTGTAGCTTTGCTATTTCATTTCTGTGTTTTCTAATTCTGACCTAAGTTAGTTCTTTCATGTCTTTTGTCATTTTCTTTTCTTTCTTTTCTTTTTTTTTTTTTTTTTTTTTGAGACAGAGTTTTGCTCCTGTTGCCCAGGCTGCAGTGCAATGGTGCGATCTTGGCTCAGCCTCAGCCTCCTGAGTAGCTGGGTTTATGGGCATGCACCACCATGCCCGGCTAATTTTTTGTATTTTTAGTAAAGACGGGGTTTCTCCATATTGGTCTTGAACTCCTGACCTCAGGTGATCTGCCCGCCTCGGCCTCCCGAAGTGCTGGGATTACAGGCATGAGCCACTGCACCCAGCTGTCTTTTGTCATTTTCTTAATGTGTTTTGGTCACCTATTTTATGGACATGTCTTTCCGATGTGCTTTTATTATCTGTAGAGAAGTTAGACCCTGTGTTCTCCCCACCATCACTCCCTGTTCTTAACTTTATATGGGATTTGACTTCAATATTTTCTATTGCTCATTTTTATGTGAAATTAGTGTCTTAAGTTTACAGGTTCAGATAGCTTTTCTCACACCATAGGACTCGTCTATCATTTTTGTGTAGTTTTTCTTTTTTAATATGGCTTGTCTTATCAGATTTCCTGCTATTGGTTCCCTCCCTTATTCCACCTGGCCCTTCTTTTTCTTTATCTTTTTATTTTTCTCCTGTTTAACTTTTATTCCATTTTCTCCACTTTCTTCTTTCTGTGAGCCATACCCTAGAAAAGAACCCTAGTGGGCCAGAGTTGAGATGCAAATTCTTAGACTACTCTAGCCCCTTGAACTCACTCCATATTGGCAAAGCCAGAAATCCTGACTGTTTTACTTGCTGTTCTCAAATCAATCCATCTTACTTTCCAGGGAATATCTTCTGTCTGCTTTGGATATGATTCCAGAAGCCATGTCACTTCTAGTAAATTACTCTGCCTTCCCTGTACACTTTCAAATTTCCTAGGCCTCTTGCATATAAAGTGGAAGGTCTCATCTCTAAATTTCTAGTAGAATCCAACTAAAACACATACCCTGAGCTGAGACCCTTCTCTGAGCAAAGGAACTCACCCAGTCACTCTTTGGAACTTTCAAGTCGTGCTCTTTGTACGTATCATATATACTATGAACTTGTTTTCCCCTCATTGAAAGATAAGATGTCAGCTTTGCATGTTTCCTTTATTCCAGTGGAGATCCTTCAGGGTTTGGTGAGTGGAAATCTGGGAGGCACACTTGGGCCGACTGTCAGCAGCCCCATTGAGCAAGATGTGGTCGGTCCCGTTTCCCTGCCCCGGAGAGCAGAGACCTTTGGAGGATTTGACAGCCATCAGATGAATGCTTCAAAAGGTAAATGATGTGAAGTCATGAGCTTTTATAGGCAATCCTTGACTATCTCACACAACTCAAAATGACTTGTACTTTAGTAGCTACATCACCGCTCCCAATCAGCAAATTTCTTAGTGAGATTTCAAGACACTCAAGAGCTTGTCAGTCAGACTCATATTCATTTTGAGTAACAAAAAAGATTTTCCTAAGATCTCAGCTAAAAGAGTAATAATACATGTTCCTGCTTCCATTTCTTCTGCATCCGTAAAATTATTAATAATCACTTAGCTGCCACCAAGCAGCTCCCCCTTTTTGGGGGCATCAGTAGGTTTCAGACATACTACATCCCCAAGATGCCTATATGATATTCTTTCCTTGGCTAATCTGTTTCACAACTTTAAAAAAAAAAACAACCCTATTTTTTGTTTAGGAGGCGAGAAGGAAGAGGGAGATGATGGCCAAGATCTTAGGAGAACGGAATCAGATAGTGGCCTAAAAAAGGTATTTCTCTTTAAAATACACCATGAACCTCCTTGGCACTTTCCTCTGAATTCATAACCTTTGAAATTATTTCACTTTGATGTTGTTTTCGATGCCTGAATTGCTGCTTTTAATAAAATTATTTTCAGGGAAAATCACATTTTTAAAACAAATAGTACAGTTAAGAGCTCCACATTATTGGCTGTTTGGCCTCACTGGCTTAGGGCAGTGTGTTTACATTCATAACTCTACCATGGTCCTGGCAGGACCAGTTTCATTAGGTTTGTTTCAGGTGCTCCAAACCGACCTGACCTCCTTACAAGGTATCAGTGATAAATAGTTCAACCTCTTAAACCTTCACTACCTTAGTGAGAGGCTGTGGTAGAAAATGGAAAGCTACAGCCTAACACAGAAACACACTGAATGTCATTTTTGCATCAAGATCTTCATTTTTTTATATGTATGTTTTTTGTTTTATAGGGTGGAAATGCTAACCTGGTATTTATGCTTAAAAGAAACAGTGAGGTAAGGACATTATGAACTATTTAAGAAAATATGTGTTTGTTGTCATTGTCAAGTTAGGAATATTGTTTTTTCCTTTTTTTTTTTTCTTTTTGCTGTTACAAAGAGGCTAACTGCTGGCTATCATCTGTATGTGTAAACAATACAGTTGTCAGTTTCCTTGGCCTTTCCCCTGTCTTTGGTCCTAGGGGCACCATCTTGGAATTTTGCCAGTTAGAGAATTGCCTGCTAAGATGGCCTTTGATTCGTTTCTTTGATTCTCTGTCCTTAAGGAAGCCTCTTGCTGTTTTTTTGTTTGTTTGTTTGTTTGTTTGTTTGTTTGAGATGGGGTCTCACTCTATCGCCCAGCTCGCTGCAACCTCTACCTCCCAGGCTCAGGCAATCCTCCAGAGTAGCTGGGACTACAGGCATGCCTGCCACCATGCCCGGCTAACTTTTGTATTTTTTGTAGAGACAGGGCTTTGCCATGTTGTCCAGGCTGGTCATAAACTCCTGGACACAGGCAGTCCACCTGCCTTAGCCTCCCAAGGTGCTGGGATGACAGACATAAGCCATCTTATCCAGCGCTTCTTGCTTTTAATGAGCTTTCTCTAAATAGGGCCTGTGAAATCCCTGTGGTGGTTTCCTTTGGTCTAAGCACACTGAGTAGAATTCATAGCAGCCTTTTCTCTATCACAAGCCTGATACTAAGAGCCACAGGTCTGGAACATGGGCATTTAACTTGTGGGTAATTTGACACAGTAATTTCTTATCCTTCAAGTACTCAAGTTATATCATCATCTTTTTTTTTTTTTTTTTTTTTTCTGGGGATGGATCTTGCTCTGTTGTCCAGGCTGGAGTACGGTGGTGCGATCTCAGCTCACTGCAACCTCCATCTCCTGGATTCAAGCGATTCCCCTGCCTCAGCCTCCCGAGTAGCTGGAATTATAGGCATACGCCACTACACCTGACTAATTTTTTGTATTTTTAGTAGAGACGAGTTTTCATCATGTTGTCCGGGCTGATCTTGAACTCCTGACCTCAGGCAATCTGCCCACCTGGGCCTCCAAAAGTGCTGGGATTACAGGCATGAGCCACCGCGCCCAGCCATATCTTCTTCTTTGAGTATTGCTTTAGACTTAATATGTGTTTCATCTGTGAAGCAGTCATGGTGTCCTTCTGGAAGGATGCCCATCCCCCATCCCACCCCCAGGACTCCTTGTTGTGACATAATCTTCAGATTACTGCCATCTCTAAAATTAATTCTGAGTATCTGACTTTGTAAGCAGAATAGAAGCCGATACATGATAATTGCTTTTTAGAGTATAGTTCTCAAGGATGTTGACTGTGTTTCTTCTTTTTCTTGTCCTTGCTTTTAACGTTAAGTTAAAAGTCTCCAAGGAACTTTATTTTTGAAATTTTAAGGGGAATCTTTCCTTTTTCCCCCTAAAATACAGAAGGATATTGTTTTATATTTGTTGCCACAAAAGTCTAAATACAGTGGAGTCCTGAAGGAATCCTTCAGTGTGCTTATCTTTAAATGACAAACCTGAGCTTATGGAAGCTACTTGCTCTCTGGATCTGCTGCTTGAAATTAGCTCACAGCAGCTTCCACGTCCCAGGTTCAAGCAATTCTCCTGCCTCGGCCTCCAGAGTAGCTGGGACTACAGGCCCGCACTACCATACCTGGCTAATTTTTTTGTATTTTAGTAGAGATGGGGTTTCACCATGTTGCCCAGGCTGGTCTCGAACTCCTGACCTCAGGTGATCTGCCTACCTCAGCCTCCCAAAGTGCTGGGGTTACAGGCGTGAGTCACTGCTCCTGGCCTTGATTTTTCTTTATGGCGACTTTTCCCTCTATATTTAGTTACAAGAATCAGGGTAAGAAATAGTACAAGACCTGTTTGTTTTTCAGACATTCCAGTATGGATTAGACACTATAAATGCTTAGCTAGAGTCGGCAGGTTCTTCTGTTACTTCTGTTTATTAAGAATAAAATAAGAGGGGCCGGGCTCGGTGGCTCACGCCTGTAATCCCAACACTTTGGGAGGCCGAGGTGGGTGGATCACTTGAGGTCAGGAGTTCAAGACCAGCCTGGCTAACATGGTGAAACCCTGTCTCTACTAAAAATATTAGCCAGGCATGGTGGTGGACGCCTGTAATCCCAGCTACTCAGGAGGCTGAGGCAGGAGAATTGCTTGAACCCAGGAGGTGGAGGTTGCAGTGGGCCAAGATCGCACCACTGCACTCCAGCCTGGACAAGAGTGAAACTCCGTATCCATCTCAAAAAAAAAAGAATAAGGGGTAAAAAATTTTCTCAGAAGAGCTAAGCCTGGTAATTAAGATTTTTGTGTTTTGTTTTTAAATGTATTATAAAAGGAATACATGTTCATGGTAGATAAGTAACATAAGTTACTTGATAATAAACATAATCCCACCACTGAAAAATAGCTACCGTTAAATGTTTGGTGTTTTCCCAGCACTTTGGGAGGCCGAGGCGGGTGGATCATGAGGTCAGGAGATCGAGACCATCCTGGCTAACAAGGTGAAACCCCGTCTCTACTAAAAATACAAAAAATTAGCCGGGCGCGGTGGCGGGCGCCTGTAGTCCCAGCTACTCGGGAGGCTGAGGCAGGAGAATGGCGTGAACCCGGGAGGCGGAGCTTGCAGTGAGCCGAGATTGCGCCACTGCAGTCCGCAGTCCGGCCTGGGCGACAGAGCGAGACTCCGTCTCAAAAAAAAAAAAAAAAAAAAAAAAGTTTGGTGTTTATATTTCCAGCCTTCTACATAACATATCCGAGTTGTATATGTGTGAATAGTACAAAAATAGTTTTACATAATTCATAGCAATACTTCGTAGAGCTTCATATCTTGCTTTTTTTCCTCTTAATATGCATTAAAAACATTTCCCCAAGGCATGTTTTTACAAAGCATGCTGTTGCACAGCTTCATCTTATTGTGTACCATAATTTACTTAGTCTTTGTGATAGTTAACCGTTTTTCTACGTTTTGCTTTTAAAGCAGTGAGCCAAGAAAATCTTTGTACATACATTGTTTTTTCACAGCTCTCTGATTATTTCCCGAGTATGCCAAAATGCTTTTGAAAGGAGGTTTTGCAGTGCTTGGTACTACCCATTAGACATACAAATGCTCATTTTCATCTTTTACCAACATTGAGTATTATCATTCTTATTAAGTTTTTGTTCGTTTGATAAGTTTGGGTCATTTATTTTATTTTGCATTTATTTGATTTCAAATAAGGTTGAGTAATTTTTAATATGTTATGCTATTGGCCATTTATATTTCTAATGTAAATTGCTGGTTTGTGTTCCTGGCCTATTTTTCTACTAGGGTATTTTTTTTGTCATAATGTTCTATGAGAGCCTTTTTTAAATGAAAGATTTTTCCATTTGAATTTCTATTAGTTCTTTGCCTTTTAATTTTAATTTTACATTTTTACATAGAAATTTTTGAAAAAAATCTTCTGGTTTCTTCCATTACTTCTGTGTTTGCAAAGCCTTCCCTGTTTCAAGATTAGAAAACAGTTCTAGTTCCTTCCAGCTCTTTTTTTTTCTTTTTGAAATAGGATCTCGCTGTCTTGCCCTGGCTGGACATAAATATGGTTTATTTTTTGCCTTTAACATTTTCAGATATTTGAACCTTTTTTTGTGTGTGAGCTAAGATCTCAACTCAATTTTTTTCAGAAATTTAGCCAATTTTCTCAGAACAATTAATTGAATATTCTTTCCATTAATTTGAAATGCTATTTACATGCTAAATTGTTATGAGAAGTTTCTGGAATTTCTGTTCTGTTGCGTTGATATGTATGCTGTTTTTATTCTAGTCATTTTAAGTAATGGAAGCTTTCTATTACATTTTAACTTGTGCTGATGTTCCTCCTATACATAGGTCACTGTGGTCTTCGTTTGTTTTTCTTGGCTGCTGGTGCTCACTTAGTTTCTTTGGTGCTTTCAATTTGAAAATATTTCATAAAGATATAAGCATTTAGTTGTATCTTAAAGGAGCCATCTTATCAGGTAAACATTAGTGTGATGGATTCTGAGATTCATAAAGCCCTGAAACGAATGTTTCCATTTTGTTCCTTTGGCAGCAGGTTGTCCAGAGCGTTGTTCATCTCTACGAGCTCCTCAGCGCTCTGCAGGTGCGTGCCTTCATCTTCCATCCCTGCGTTTATTTGTCTAGAGAACAGCAGCTTGGGGCTGTTGTTGACTTGGATCTTTGAGGTTTGCAGGATGTTTAATGGATAAATGGGGCCCTCAGTCTAGGGAAGACTGGCTCTCGTGGTGAGAAAGTTACAGAATGCATCGACCTTCCAGGACTAGAATTAGTGAAGAGCTGGTGTGCCGTAGGCATGGCTTGATAACCATGCTACAAATCACATAGCATGCTAACATGCATCTGGGAGATTACTTCACTTTAGAAAGCCTTAAGTATGATTATAAGTTTCTATATTCCGTATCTCTGTGGTATTTGAATAGAGTGGCCTTCCTAATACAGCTTCTGTTTCGGACTTCCCAGGAACATCCTCAAATTCTGCTCACTTCCTTTCTTGAAGATCTAACCTGTCTCGTTCCTACTTTCTCCCACTTCCAACACACACACACACAACCCACCCACCCACACAGACACACACACACACAACCACCCCCCCCCCCACCCCAGGTAATACCACTGACTGCAAACAGCATGCAACCAGATTGACAAAAACCCGTGAGTTCCTGCACCTTTGAGGTTCTTGTATGATAAACAGCTGCAATTATCCTGGAGCATTTTTATGAGACGGGCTTGAAAAATGAGGGGAGAGTTCTAGTCCGTCATAGTGCCTGGTGCCCCCTGCTGTGGGGTCGGGAGGGATCCAGAAGCTCGCTGTCGTCCTGGCCAGAGTTGCAGGGCTCCCCTCTGTGTGCCTCCCAGGGTGTGGTGCTGCAGCAGGACAGCTACATTGAGGACCAGAAACTGGTGCTGAGCGAGAGGGCGCTCACTCGCAGCTTGTCCCGCCCGAGCTCCCTCATTGAGCAGGAGAAGCAGCGCAGCCTGGAGAAGCAGCGCCAGGACCTGGCCAACCTGCAGAAGCAGCAGGCCCAGTACCTCGAGGAGAAGCGCAGGCGCGAGCGTGAGTGGGAAGCTCGTGAGAGGGAGCTGCGGGAGCGGGAGGCCCTCCTGGCCCAGCGCGAGGAGGAGGTGCAGCAGGGGCAGCAGGACCTGGAAAAGGAGCGGGAGGAGCTCCAGCAGAAGAAGGGCACATACCAGTATGACCTGGAGCGACTGCGTGCTGCCCAGAAACAGCTTGAGAGGGAACAGGAGCAGCTGCGCCGGGAGGCAGAGCGGCTCAGCCAGCGGCAGACAGAACGGGACCTGTGTCAGGTAATGGGACTCCCTGCCGAGAGCAACCTAATGATGATATTAATTAAGACCCCCTGTGTATTAAGCAAGGTAAGAAAGTGAGCAGAAATATAGAGCCTGTTTTTGGCCAGATGCTCATGCCTGTGATCCCAGCACTTTAGGAGGCTGAGGTGAGAGGGTAGCTTGACCAGCCTGGGCAACAGAGGGAGACTCTGTCTCTCCTAAAAAAAAAAAAAAAAAAACAAACAAACAAACAAAAAAAAAAAACAGTTTTTAAGAATCTTTGTAGCTGGACACAATGGCTCACACCTATAAATCCCAGCACCTTGGGAGGCCGAGGCAGGTGGATCTCTTGAGGCCAGGAGTTTGAGACCAGCCTGGTCAACATGGCGAAACGGCGTCTCTACTAAAAATACAGAAATTAGCTGGGTGTGGTGGCAGGCGCCTATAATCCCAGCTGCTTGGGAGTCTGAGGCATGAGAATCGCTTGAACCGGGGAGGTGGGGATTGCAGCGAGCCGAGATCTCGCCACTGCACTCCAGCCTGAGCAACTCCGTCTCAAAAAAACACACACAGAAAAACAAAAAGAATCTTTGTTTTACCCCGAAAGAGAGGCAGAGGCAGAAAGTCTTCTTCTGCTTTTTGCATCTCTAAGAGGCTGAAAAAGAGAATGGAAGTGCTGGGGCATTTTGGCCAGGGCAGTAATGGATATTTGGAGTTGGCACTTCCCTCAGCTAGAGGAGTCTCAGTGTGTCTGAGAAAATGGCAGTCAGCCATCCAGGATTTTAGGAGCAACGCCACTGCTCTGTGCCACATCAGAAATCAGGCATGGCCCCAACCTGAAGGAACTTGTAGCTTAATGGGGAAGCACACCAAGAATAAAAGAGCCTCCAGAACATGTGGTGCCTGTGGTCCTGAGACAGCAGGAAATGGCTCTCAGGCCAGAGTTGCTGGAAGAACCCATGTGGCAGGATCGGTGGGAGGCAGTTACAGAGGGAAACGCCCATCCCAGCAACTAGGGGAGGCCGCCACTCCTCTCGTGGATGGATGATATTCTTGCTTGGGGATGTTGAGACAGCTGCACTCTGCATAGTTCCTGATTTGCCTCTCTACTGCTGATGAAAAACCTCTCTTTCTCTATAGCTGCTGCTTATATTGGAAGGCTTTTGGTTATTCAGCACACTCACTCCTGAGCTTATTTCAGTGATATTCCTTGGTTATTTCGAAACATGGATGCTTGTGGCAGATGGAGAGCCTGGGTGTACACAGATCTGCCTGTGTTTTGAAATGCATACCATGTTGCCGTTTGTTTGATTGATTGATCTTGGACCACGAAAGAAAATTATACTGACAGCTTCCAGGGTAGGGGGCAGTTGTAGCTTTCTGCAGATGTTGCCAAATATATTGGGGGTGGGGAGCAGCAAATGCCATGTGTTGCTTTTTATGACATAAGGAGGGATTCCACCCCCATCCCAATAAAATCGGTGCTTTGACAAAGGAGGGTTCCCAGGCAGCTAAGAGAACCCAGAGTAGATGATCCTCTTTATCTCTGGTTTAACCTGTGACTAGGATTCTTGGTGTAAGCTCGGCTTTTCCACTTATCCTCTAACCGGAACAGGCTTCTATAATCTCTTTGCCTTAAAATAATTATCTGCATCCCTGTGTAGAGCAATCTTAAGCAGCTCTCCTTGTTTCTTCAGGGAATGGGAATTCTTTTCTAAGTCGCCCCATCAAAGGTACTATTGGTTTTTTACAACGCCGGCGTTTGTGTATGTAGTAAAAGTATTAACAGCATTAAAGGCGATATTTTTAACATGTTTATAGATACTACTTGGGGGAGGGCAGCTAATGAAACCTTCAAGCTCTATGCAGTCCACAGACGTGAGCTCTGTAGAGTTCGCAGAGGTGGGTAAGTACCCAGCCAGCACACCCAGTTGAATTCAGCCAGGATTTATTGAGTTGGCATCACGGACGCTGACAGCCTCCAAGTGAAAACCCTTCTCTTGAATATGTACAGGTTTCCCATCCACATACCAAGCTGATGAGGATCCCATCGTTCTTCCCCAGTCCTGAGGAGCCCCCCTCGCCATCTGCACCTTCCATAGCCAAATCAGGGTCATTGGACTCAGAACTTTCAGTGTCCCCAAAAAGGAACAGCATCTCTCGGACACACAAAGATAAGGGGCCTTTTCACATACTGAGTTCAACCAGCCAGACAAACAAAGGACCAGAAGGGCAGAGCCAGGCCCCTGCGTCCACCTCTGCCTCTACCCGCCTGTTTGGGTTAACAAAGCCAAAGGAAAAGAAGGAGAAAAAAAAGAAGAACAAAACCAGCCGCTCTCAGCCCGGTGGTGAGTCACGCACACCTGCTCTCCCTGTGGCCATAGTGTCTGTGCATTCTGAGAGAGGGTAGATTTTAGTGGCATGGGGCGGGGTTGAAAAGGGGACAGTTCAGATGCTCAAAAGCCAAACTGCCATCCTTTTCACCAGCTCCGCTTGCTAAGAGCACTCATGCAGCGAACATTAAGAACCCACTCTGTGTGGCACGTGTGCAGAAGCAGAGAGCATGGGTTTCATTTTCAAGGCATTATCCGATCGAGGAACTGGAGCTCACCCCTCAATGAAGTAATTCAAGTCCTCCTTGCCTTTCTGGGCCTAGAGTAGTCATTGGTAACAGCTAGCATTTGGTGATTTAACCCTCAAATGACTGTATGAAGTTGGCACTGCTAACCCCAAGAGAAGTGAGGAAACTGAGGCTCACAGAGGCTAACTAATGTGCCAGCGGCCACAGAGCCTGCGGCTGAATTCCACTAAATGCCTCCCTGTTCATGTACCACTTTTTCCCCTGAATCCTTCTCTTTAGGATTGATCTCTCCTTTCTGTGTGGGAGGTTAAAGAAAAAGTACATTTTCCTGGCCTCTTCATAAATTCTAGTGATTATTTAAAAGTTAAAGGGAGCATTAGGCAGTGAAGGATATCACTTAAGAACCTTATTAACCAAATTTGTTCAGAAACCCCGGTGCGCAGAAGAGTTAATTGCCCATAAGCCCCAGTCGCCTGTTTGCATTACAGAAGACTTTGGGATGGGGAGGAAGTTCAATGAAAGGAGCAGTTTTTCTGAATTTTTTTCATTCTTGGTTTTCACATTTCCAGATGGTCCCGCGTCAGAAGTATCAGCAGAGGGTGAAGAGATCTTCTGCTGACCCTCTTCCTCTCTGCTGAGGCAGCTGCCTCCTGATCCTGGCCAGCCCACCTCTCCTGCTGTCCCCGCGTGCACAAGTCTCTTACACTGGACGCCCACTGCTCCTCAGCGTCCAGTCCTCCTGGGCGGCCCCAGGTCCTGGACAATAAGCAACAGATGATATTGAGTGTCGGGTGGGGAAGGAGGCCCAGACTCTGCTTCGGCCATGATTTGTGACTGCCCAGGACTCTCAGGTTGGGCTGGCCCTACTCAGGATTACACTGAAAGTAATGGCCTCGTAAGTACAGGTGATGGTTTTGGACACGTCAGGAATTCCTAAAGGCTGAAAGAGTGTATCCAAGTAAGGTCTGAACCTCCGAATGCCTTTTATTTGGGGGAACACAAAACCAAACAGCAGATGTTTTGGACTTGATCTGTGTACGTACATGGGGACCTGTCTGCATATACACACGGGGAATGCCAGAAGAAGGCCCAGTCTGCACCAGGCGTCTGGTCAACTTAGCACAAGGGCAGTGCCTGGACGGACCCGGAGCCCCCGCATATCAGCAGTTCACCCAGTACTCCTCAGAGACTGGTTTCCCTCTAAACCCATCCCGGGCACATACCACCCGTGTTTTGCATGTATTTCTCATTTCATTTTAGGGATGACAAACATTTGTGAAACCAGTGAGAGAAGGCTTGATGTGTATAAAAGACGTGATGTGCACCACCTCGATCTCGGTGTTTCAGGCACTAAAGCAACAAAACAACCCATAGTATCTCATTCTGTCATCAGATCCAGAAGAAATATCCTGGTTTTCCAGCATGTTTACCCACATGTTTTGGCCATGGATAAAGTGAAGAGGCCTACTCACCATTATCCCTGCAGCGTGACACCTTTTGATTGTCACTGACCACTCAGAAGGGGCCACGGCCTCCTGGCTGTGTTCCTGAGCCCCCGTCGTGCCTCTCCCAGACAGCAGCTGTCTGGCCCTTGCTGGGTGAGGGCACACCACTGCCAGGGGTCAGCCTCGCACCCAGGCCAGGCAGAAGCTGTGCTCTGAAGCTAGGACAGCTGGCTGAGAAGTGGGTTCAGGCGAAGGGTGAAGCCATGTGTAGCAGTTCCTGCCAGTGCAGATCTGGAGAGGAGCTGGCCCGGAAGGCGTGGTTGTGAAAGCGCCCTTCTTATGTTAGGAGGCCTTGGCAAAATTGGATTTCTTCAAAAATACATGTAAAGGTCTGTTGTTGAATTGTACTCTGCCCCTGGAAGCAGATACAGATGGCTGCCTGCTGCTCGGCTTTGCTTTTGCTTTTCCCACCGTGTTTTCATCTTTGTTCACTTGAGGCTTTCCCCAGCTGGTGTGTGCAGGACAGTTCATGGTAATGTTGCCCTCTGAGGCCCCGTACACCAGAAGGGAGGCCCTGGAAAATTTTGTGCTTCCAACGTGGCCTTCAATTCTTGCTTTTTTGCCCCTCGGAAGCATGGGGCTTTTGAGCACACTTAAAAAAAGAAAAATCTGTAACTTGGTGCTTATTGATGAATTGCAAGCTGGCCTTGCAGATGGAGATATTTATCTTTCAGTTTATTTGAAAGAGGTCTGGTTTAAAATTTGTAGCCTACATTTGTTTTATTTATTGTATTTGTGTGTTTGTGTTTGTTTTTTTTTAAGGGTGAGCCAGGTCTAGCCCAACAGTCTAAACTATCCAGTCAATACCGAGTGAAGTGGCAGCCAGCACTGTTCACTCTGTGTCTTTTGAAGTGCCTTGAAGGCCCAGATGAAATTTTAAAGGGAGGGGGTCCATGTCCTTCCCTCCCCCACCCCGCCTCATTCTTTAATCAAAGGATGTCTTCTCCCTTGTTTGAGAATGAAGAAACTCGCCACCTCTGACCTACCTTTGCCTTTTTCTGTCATGGAGAATACTCACCCTTCAGAAACAGACCAAAGGCCAAAACCTGCTGATTTTTCTATTGAAAATATGTCCCCTTGCAAAGACCCTAAACAAAAAGTTAAGTTTCTTTCTTTCACCTATTTGTACAACTCCAAGTTACAGCTGAATCTGTCGTGACTTTCCTGAGATCTACCCGGGGCTTGGCTGTCTGTTCTGGGCACTGGCTCCGAGTTCCCCTCCTGGGATTTGCAGGAGGGCAGTACTGAACCTGCATTCTTCTCCTTGTAAATGTAGGCCGGGTGCCCCTGTTCTCCGGGTTTGGAACAATACGAGGTTGGTGCTGATGGGATTTACTTGCGTACGTGCTCTTCACAAAAACACCGTGGATGCTGAAGTTAGAGCACGTCGCCACAGAGCTTGACATCAATGTTAGAGGGTCTCTTACTCCCCGCCCAGCTGTGATGTTTCATCTGCTTTGGTTGTTTTGGTGGTCTTTTTTAAAAATAGAGATTTCACATCTGCCCAGACCCCACTCAAAACGATTTGGTCAGGTTCTGGTTGGACAAGTTTAAAATCAAAGTAGTGCCCGGAATTCCCTCAAACCACCCAACTTCATCCAGGAATACAGTCTGCAGTGCAGCAACAGAACCGCTTACCAAGAACTGTGCTTACATACCTTTGTCATCTCTCTTCCCCCCTTGGAAGTTGTCCTCAGGGGGATTTGTTCCTGTCCTGGGGATTTACCTGGGATGGTGGCTGCCTGTGCTTTTGCTCATGGCCTTGACAGTGCTCTAGTTGCTGGATCTAATGGCCTGTCTTGGTTTCTATCACATGAGAAGGGGTTGTTTTTTTGGGGTGACTCGGACTGAATTCCCCATACTGTTTCCACGCCGGGACACCATGTTCTCCATCAAGCTAAAGAAATCACGTGCCTGAAACTGTGCTTAAGTTTTGGGGGAAAGATGGAGTTCCTATCCAGAGCCCCCAGATTTCCAGAATCGAGTGAGCTTCCTGGAAGGAGACTGCGTCTTCTCTCAATTCCAGTCATCTCAGTCGTTGTCGTTAGGTGACATGTGCACTTTAAATGCTCTCATCGGTTGGCTTCATTTTCAAGACAATCAAATGTATTGACTGTGTTTTCTTCTTAGAAAATGGAGAGGGTTAAAAACATGCAAACTGCCACTTTCAACCTTTGCCAGTATTCCCTCTACCCCCGTGAGAGCTATCTGGGGGGAAGAATCCTTACCAAGGTTTTTTTGGAAAGGTACGAATCTTAACTTTTTTCCCCTTCTGTGTCTCAGGGTAATACTATTCAGAGTCGCCCCTTTGCTCATTTTCTCCCGTATTTGTTACCTTCCTGAGGCCTCAGTATTAGTCGTGAGCACAAAGTTTTGAGACCTTTGGCGTTGTTTCTTGATGTGGGAGGGGAGGTGTTAGTGCATGCAAGGGTTGAACTAGATAGACCCTGCCTTAGTAGAGGGTGGGACTATAACCTTAGAGGCCAGAACTTGATCCAGAAGTTGCTGTCCACAGAAGTGCTTTCTATTTCATCATTTTTGTTTCTAGGGCTCTTTTTCTGTAGCCAGGTCTTCCCAAGGATTTTAGTATTTGCATTGGAGTTGAGGTTTACTCTAATGATGGTGGCCCAGCTGTGCCCAGAGGACAGCCAGGCAGGCCCTGGGAGGGAGTTTAGAAAGACAGTCCTGGTGAATGGGCTTCAAGTGGTCACAAAGAGGGTGGCTGTGAGGTGACCCCAGACACTGCAGAACGATGTGCACCCTCTGCGTTTTGGATGTCCTTGGAATGTGGGAGCCTAGAAATAACCCTGTGGATGGAATTGGGGCAGCGGCTGCTGGAGATCTGTGTGCCTTGCCTTCCTTCAGCAGGACCGTCTAGGTGCGCAGCCACCTATGGATGCGTCCCAGCCAGCCCCGTCGCTCTCGTCCATCCTCAGAGACAAAGAAGAGGGCAGGGAGTTTGGGCTTGGTTTTGAACTTTCCTTTCAATGTAGCAAAGCATTCCTAGTTAACCAGAGCCTTGGAATCTACTGCCTGCTGGCCAGGCTTTAAAATGAAAAGTGTTTTAATGCTGCCATAAAAGGGAGGCGGGGGGGAGGAAGGGAAAATAAAGGCATCTTTCCAAGTACTCATCTAATTTAATTGTCAAAAGATTGATAGGCCATGAATTACTTCTCCATCTCACTAAGGGTTAAAGGCGTGCAACCCCCCACTGGCTGTGTCCCCTGCCACCGAAGTGAGTGACCTGCCCTACAACCAGGTGGGACCACCTGTGCTGCAGTCCGGAGGGGCTTCTGCAGGAAGCACTCACCCCCCACACCTTCCCCGGCCTGAGCTTCCCCTACCTTTCGTCACCACCTGAGGGCATGAGCACAGGCCATGGGGCGTGCCTGGTGAGTCTGCCTGTGGTTCAGGCTTAGCCTGTGGTCTCCTGTGTGCTGCTGCCCGCATGGGATGCGCAGGGGAGGCGTGGGGATCCGCAGGAGGGTGGTTGGGATACACCGGATACCTCTGCTCTCATTGCTTGTTTGCAAATGCTCTATGGACATTTGTGTGCTAAATCCTATTAAATAAAAAAGACGGGTTAAAACCCAGATGCTGTATATTCATTTGTAATTATGTATAAAGTGAAGCAGTTTTAAACTGTAAAGATTTTTTTCAGTGTGTTTTCTCGAATTTTGCCACAACATACTGGCTTCGTATTTTATTTATCTTTCTTTCTAGTTACCAGCTTCAGACCCTTGTAAAGTCTCCCTCAGCCCTTTCAAAAAATAATAAATTTCCTGTGAAGTTCTGGTTGGTGCTGTGACTTATTCCTATTCCTGATTCCTGTAGAAGGGATACTCCCCATCCACCCCCATAGCTCTTGAGGAGACGCCTTATGCACCGAGCAGCTGCTGGGGACGCATTTCACTCTCTCGGAGTGGGACCCAAACCCAGAGAGTGACTGATCAGCCCTAAAGTCAAACAAACAGTTTATGCCAAGAGCCAAAACTTCCTATTTCCAGATAAATCAATACAGTGAACAGGAACTTTGCTATAGAGCCTGCGACTTCCCTTAATGTTAGTTTCTCTCTCTTCGCTAACATTCTCCACCCCGTCCCACCCCCAAACTAGAGCAACTGCCAGAAACTAATTCAAGAAGAAAGATCCTCTCTGCTTGTAGCTCCCGGCTGATTCACTGGGTCTGATCCCGGAATGTCGGGGCTCCCCTGGAGACACACAGGGCTCCAGCTGTCACTGGCTCCACCAGCACAGCCTGTGCCTTCCATTTTTAGATTAGATTACTAGCTTCCTACTCTTCCAGGTCTGCGCTTTCTGGACCTATAGGAAGACCCTTAAGTCCAGCTGGGCCTTGGAGAACTGTGCCGCTCGCAGTAATGCAGAGAACCTGGGCAAAGCTGCCTGGAGTCCCCGCTCTGCCACTTCCCAGCTCCCCGCCCCTCCCTGACAGTCACCAAAAAGAAAGTCCTGGCCAGGCGTGGTGGCTCACGCCTATAATCCCAGCACTTTGGGAGGCCGAGGTGGTCGGGTCACTTGAGCTCAGGGGTTCAAGACCAGCCTGGCCAACATGGTGAAGCCCCGCCTCTAGTAAAAATACAAAAATTAGCTGGGCGTGGTGAAACCCCATATCTATCTACTAAAAATACAAAAATTAGCCAGGCGTGGTGGCACATACCTGTAATCCCAGCTACTCGGGAGGTTGAGGGAGGAGAATTGCTTGAACCCGGGAGGCGGAGGTTGCAGTGAGCCGAGATCGTGCCGCTGCACTCCAGCCTGGCAACAGAGCGAGACTCTGTCTCAAAAAATAAAATCCTGCCCAGCTGCCAAGTGTCTTTCCTTTCACCACGAACTTGGAAGTGCACGGGTTTCTTTGCAGAGTCTTGTAGCCCTGGTGATAGCTGCCTCCCCATAAGCCAGTAAAACACTGGTCTTTTTTCTCTCGCTCACTGCTCTTGGCTGTCACTGCTGCCCTGGCGGTCTCCTCCCCCACAGCAGCCATCCTGGCCTGGGTCCGCGGTGGCCCTCATCCACCCAGACACCCTCAGCAGGGCAAGAGGAGTGGTTCCCATGGCCTCCCTCCTCCGCTCTCCACCGCAACTGGTTCTGAGCCAGGGACAGGCTCTGTCTGGGAGGCAAGAAGAGCGAGAAGATTCCATTCTCTTCCAGAACAGCAGAGACACAAAGCGCAGAGGGCCCCAAGAACACTAGCCAGCCATTCAGTAGGGGCTTAAGTCTCTGCCCACTCCTAACGGATGCTGCTGTGCCCAGAGCCTCTGCCACAGCACAGACTTGACCGCCAAGTGGCTCCTACGAAAGTGGCCATTTTCCGTTTGAAGGTCCCTCATCCCCAGGGAAAGCCCGTGGCCTAGGGGCGGCCACCTGTGAACTAGCAGGAGATGCTGTCTGCAGCCACAGCCCTGCCGGAAAAGAAGTGGGAGTCGCTGATGCTGCAAGACAGAGACCTAAACCGAAGTGTGGGGAGGACACTAGGAGGCCCCAAAAACCAAAAAGCCAGGGAGGAGCTTGGGAGGAGAGGAGGCATGCAGCGTGCAAGCCTTGCGATTTCCTTGGAAGCAGCCACAGAAGCAGAGGGCGGGCGAGCTGAGCTGCAGATTGTTAGACCTCAGACCTGGAACTCCCTGAACTCCCTGCCTGGGGGTGACAACCCCCTCATCCAGCCTCTGCACAGCAAGAAGTGCCTCCCCAAGCCCCCCACCTCCCCGTCCCTGCCACAGTTCCTGTTCTTTGGAGTCTTCGGAGACTCCTTTGTCCTTAAAATTTGACTCTGTTTCTTCAGGGGCACAGTGGCAGATCATCCAGAGGGTCCTGGAGCAGTCCAGTTCCAGCGCCGTCCTGCCACCCCTGTGGGTGTCCCCCCGGGCCAGAGAGGAGTGACAAGTGGGAGGAAGTGGCATGTGCCCTAAATGGGGAGGATGTGGGTCCCAGAGCCCCAGCAGCCTACCCCCTCCACCCCAGTTTGGGGCCCTCCCTTGCTGCCTGCCCGCCCCTGCCCCTTCCGCCATCCCCAGCTGCCTTTGGTATCCAAGTGACAGCCTGGGCCCTTCCCACCCCCGCTAAGGCCTCCTCCTTTCATATGGTAATGGCTTGCTCTACACAGCCCTAGTCCCACAGATGTGTGGGCTACCCCTCTCTCCCCATGCCTTTGGGAAACTTTCTTCTTCCTGGGAAACAGAATCTGGACCCTGCCGAGGACAAGGACCCCGGAGGCCTCAGTGGGAGAGTTGTGGGGAGGGGGTCATAACAGGGCTTCTTGGAATGGACCAGCTGGAAGCCAGCCTGCTTTTCTCTCCCTTCCTCCCTGGTCACTGCTTCCCTTTGAGCTGTCCCTGGACTTCCCACCCCACCCCCAGCTTCAGAGATTGAGGTGGCGGTTGCCTGGACAACCTCGGTTCTTCTCTGCGGTCCAAAGGAGAGGGCTGCTGGGCAAGTAAAGCAGGGCTGCCTGCCCTGAGGAGCCTGGAAGAGGGGCACACTGGGGTCCCCTCTGTCGTGGAGGAGTATGGACAGGGGCTGAGGGGGCCACGCGGAGGCCCCAGGATGGGCACAGACTCCAGGACTGCCGCTGGTAGCCGAGTGGCCAAGCTGTTAAACCTTTGTCTCCATTTCCTTTTTCAGAAGGGTCTGCAGAGTCTGCAGGTGGCGCGCACATTCGTCATGATGCTGAAGAGATGAGCAGAGTGCTTAGTCTGGGGCCCAGCGCACTCATCTGGAAGCATGTCAGCGGAGCCGCGGGACAGCTGCCACGGACGGCAGTGGCCCCGGATTCATGTCCCGAGTCTGAAGAGAGCTCCTCCCTGGCCTTTTGGTTTTTGGGGCCTCCTAGTGTCCTCCCCACACTTCGGTTTAGGTCTCTGTCTTGCAGCATCAGCGACTCCCACTTCTTTTCTGACAGGGCTGTGGCTGCAGACAGCATCTCCAGCTAGTTCACAGGTGGCCGCCCCTAGGCCACGGGCTTTCCCTGGGGATGAGGGACCTTCAAATGGAAAATGGCCACTTTCATAGGACTGTTTCAGGTTACAGGGTCACCCCTTCCTGTCCCTACCTTAGACTCCCAACCCCATCGCTGCACCTGGCCTGGCCTCCTCTGGAAGGAAGCTCAGATTTGGAGCCTCTGCCAGGGCAGGGAGCCTGTTGGAACCAGCCCAGGGCCAGCCGGCTCATTCCTGGAATTCCTACCTCCTCTCACTGCCCTGGGTTGGCACCAGGTGCTGAGTGGGCCTCAGGCCAACTGTGGGCATGGGCTCGATGCCGCTGCTTCCTCCTCCACATCAAGGCATCAGCCGTATCTCACCCCAAAAGGCAGAGAGGAAATCCAGCTAAGTCCCACGCCCAAGCTCTGTGCTGGCTTCTGGAGGGAAGACACAGCCACTGATCGGCACTTTTGGTTCATGTGTCCTCCTACAACAAATGCGAACAACCATATACCCTTCACATGGCTTATGTCTAGCTCTCAAACGGTATCACAAGTGTAACTGCTACAAAGTATATAATCTGGGGCATTATTTTCATGCTTCAAATATATTTAGGGCTAAAGCCTTAAGTTGTTCAACTTACAGAAAATACCCACCATGTGACCTCATTAGCAAAGCCAGTACTTCTTGGCAAACTGATTGGCCAATTCAGAATTCAATTTCCATTAAAAAAGTTTGATTGCTTTTAAATTTAAATTAAAATGTTATTTAGTTGACAACTAAAAATTTTTAGTGACAACTATCTCACTTCTGAATTATGACTTAATAATGGGGAGGGAGGGAGGTAAGATGAATGAGTAGATGGGATGGATGGATGGATGGATGGACAAGTGGATGGGTGGATGGGTGGATGAATGAATGGTGGGTAGGTTAATGAGTGGGTGCATGGGCAGGTGGATGGGTGAGTGGATGGGTGGGTAGATGGGTGGATGCATGGGTGGATGGACAGGCAGGTGAGCAGATGGACACACAAAGATATGGAATCTTGTCATGTGCTTGTCAATTGAATTCCAAAAGGCACTGCCCTGTTTAACAACCCTATGCTTTGCAATCCACCTTTCCCTCATGCTGCCCAACCTTAACACGTCCATTTGGTGCCCCAGATGTTTTTACACCCTGAGCAGTGCACCATAATGAGTTTCAGGAGGGGCGAGAGATAACTTTCTTTTGTGAAATGAAAGAAGGGTGATTGAGGAAGCAAGGGGGGAACAGGCATGGGCAGAGGCACGGTTCTGGGAAAGCGCATCCCCAGATCCCAGAGGAGTTCCTCAGGACTTGCCCAGCCTGGGGCCCCATCACAAAGCTCCTCTCTGTGGTGGAAGCCCTGTGTGCCAGACTACTTCCCCCCAAGGAAGGTGGCCCTGGTGTCTTCCTGCTCTTTCTCCATCACCACAAGCATTTGAAGCCCTGGCTTTTACCTGGGAAGCGAGAGAAACATCTCCTCACCCACTAGCCCTGACTCCAGCTCAGACAAGCCTGGACAAACGCAGCTCATGCCCAGTGACATTCTAGGTCGCCGGGGGAAGATCTGCTAAGCCATGGCCTGACCCTCCGGGCTCAGCATGCACTGAGCAAAGCACCCGACCAGAACACTCTTCTTTCAGTCATCACACTGAGGCTTGGACCTGGGGGTGACTGTCCCCACCAACAACACAGGAAATCAATCTTCCTGGAGGTGATCAGCCTCCTGAAGAGAAAAGTCTGAAAATCAGGAAGTCACAAAGTTTTTTAAGACTCTGCACGCTTTCCAAGCAGAAGTTAAGGTCCTTTGAACCCTGTGATTGCAGTAACCATTTCTCTGGGGTGGCTCATACAATTCCAAGCCATGGAAGGAGGACAAAGCACTTGTGCCAACAGGAGGGACGACCCGCCTCTGTGAGGAACCTCCTGGTGGGCTCTGGGCTTCCTGGCAGCCACAGCTAAAAGGGAAACTTTTTGTTGTTGTTTATTGTTTTGAGACAGAGTCAAACTCTGTCACCCTGGCTGGAGGGGCAGTGGTGCAATCTCGGCTTACTACAACCTCTGCCTCCAGGGTTCAAGCGATTCTCCTGCCTCAGCCTCCTGAGTAGCTGGGAATACAAGCGCCTGCCACCACGGGGGTTTCACCATGTTGGCCAGGCTGGTCTCGAACTCCTGACCTCCAGTGATCCACTTGCTTTAGCCTCCCAAACTGCTGGGATTACAGGTATGAGCCACCGTGCCCGGCCAGAAACATACATTTTTACTGAAATTGCCTTCAACTCCCCAGAAAGCTGGAATACTTTCTTTCTAGTTAATTTTCACACACACACACTCTCTCTCTTAAGTTGGAAACGTATATGGGGCAAAGGAAATGGACATCATTGACAGAAATCTAGTAGCCTCTTTACCCGATTTAGTTCAATCCTTACAACAGGCAATATGATCTGTTTTTTTCTTTGTTATCAATGAGGAAATGAAGTTACAGGAGCAGAGGGACCTTCCCAAGGAGGGCCACCAAGTAGAAGAAAAGCTGCTGTTTGCACCCAGCTGGCTTGACTGCAGTGTGGCCCCTCACGCTGCACAGCACAAACTGAGGACCCACGTCCTGAGGCTCAGCTGAGGGAGCCAAGCACATGGGCTGCAAAGATCTGGCCTTGATCCCGGAGCAGAGCTCACACTACTGCTGGGAGGAGGAGACAGGCATGGCAGGGACCTCGCAGGCCTACAGGAAAGGCAGCCACAGCTGGCAACACCAGCTTGGAGGGCAGACTGGGAGCTGAAACCCCGCCCCCCCACACCCCGGCCACCTCTCTCAGGCAAATGTCACAGCTGCATTTAACAGTGCTGGCTTTTCGGTATGGCCTCAACTCCCATTTTAAAAATCTCACTATTTTCCATGGGAAGTGGGGAGATGGAGAGAGGGAGAGACAGGACCTGCTCCTCGACAGTCTTGGATGAAGCCCTAGTTAGGGTTGTACAGATGAGAGACACAGAGTACCTCAACGTTCACTCTGCAGAGTGGACAGAAGCGGGGCCAGCTTCGAAAGCGTTGAGGAAGCTCACAGGAGCCAATGTGAAGAAAGTGCGGCCATGGAGGAGTCATCCGTGGCACTCGCTCTCAGAGCCTGCATTTATCCTGCATGCACGTGTCAGGATGAGACTGTGCCATCCTGTTCCCTCTGCGGTCCCGACGCTGGTAGAGCCACCACAGGGTGGGCTTGGCAGGATGTGTCTCTTGCTCCCATCCTCCCTGGTTCCCCACCATCCCTGCAAGCTGAGTGGAGAAGCTGTGATGAGTCTACCTGGAAATGGCTTTGGAGCCCTGGGTCCTGGCATGGAGCTGGTGCCCATCAGTAGAATTACTTAATCTATCGTGCAACCCAGGAGTGTCTGGAAGCTTCTCTGCGTACCAGAGCAACGCTGCTCATCTCCTTTACCTGCAGAAAGGACAGGAAAGGAGTCCAGCCCTACTAAATTCAACTCAAAAAAGCCACTGCTCCCCTACTGCAAGCCCTCAGGGGCCCGAGCGCCAGGTGCCAAACCCAGGCCAACCCCAGGGCCAGAGCAAGGCCCCTCAGGTTCAGGGGGCCTGGGCAGCTGGGGCCAGACACACAGAAACTGCCAGAGCTTCTGCTGCCATGCTGAGCATGTTTCCTCAGCTTTAAAATGGTGACCTCAACAGTGACTGGGGCTAGGCAAGGTGGCTCTCACCTGTAATCCCAGCACTTTGGGAGGCCGAGGTGGGCGGATCACTTGATCACTAACCTCAGTCAGAGGTTAGTGAAAACAAAGGTGTCATTCTTCTCCCACCCAAGTGCATGGACCCCCTGAATTTGATCCCAAATCCCAAGTTAAGAAGCCTCCGGCCTATTCTAGGCTTTTCCTTGACCTTTAATGAGGCAGAGCCACATCCCAAAGCCCAACAAGGCAAGGGAAGATGCAGGACAATACTGTGCCCGTTCTGGGAAATTCACCCAAATCACCCTGGCTCCCTGGGCAGGGCCTGAACCTCTGCAGGTGCCATGGGCGGGCCAAGCTGCAGGTCAGGTAGGGTTGGGCCTGAGGGAAGAAGAGCAGCTGGGGGGCCGATCACCTTCATGGCCTCTTCAAGTTGGAAGAGACCATTCCCACCTCCTGAAGGAGAGAGGCCGGGCAGATCCATCGGGGCTGGGCCTGGGGCCGGGGCTGGGACATGATGGACGGGGCATGCAAGTTTCTTGCTCTGCGAAATATCCCCCCAGTGATGATCCAGAAGAACCAAGGCTCTTTCCAAGCTGTGCTCATTAGACAACTGCTTCTGAAGAAGTTGCTTCTTTCCCCACTATGATTCTACAGCCTTCGGTGTTGAGCAAGGGATGGTTGCCACACACCCTTGGGGTGGATGACTCTGGGCTCATTCTTGTCAATTCCTGACCAAAGAAATGTCCTTTGAAGGCAGGGAGACCTGGCTGAGCAGCCAGGTGGAGGAGGCAGTTGGCTACCCTCTCCTTGCCCTTGGCAACTTGACAGTCCCCCCAGGCAGGCTCTCAGGATGCCAAAGCCTCCAAGATGGCCCGTTTTCTTTCCTGCATCAGGCACAACCCAGGAAAGCTCCACTGGCCATCTTGGGACCGAGGTTTCCAGGGAGACCTTGCCCCATCACTGATGGGGAAGGCGCCTTCTCCCTTCCCCAAGCCCCATCCCAGACTCAGTCTGACCCCTGGGAGGCCAAGGAACATGGAGCTAGGCCTGCTGGGCAATGACTGGAAGCAACACTGCTCCCAGCCCCCAGCCCCCACAATGTAGCATATGGCTTGGTTTCAAATCCCAGTTCCACTGCTGTAATGTGGCGGCCATTCTCCCCCTGTAAAGGGCTATCTGGGCATTGGTCCTGGTGTTTAGTGCTTTATAGAATTTGACCTCAACTTTTAACCCTACTATCATTAAGTCTGTATCAGAGAATCAAGTGGTTTAACCAAGCTTGCACATACATGAGAGCCACACGTGAGAGCTTGAACCCAAACTCAGGTGGGCCTAGCTCCAAATCCACATTCTGTCAGTTGCAACCGTGTTTTTTCCTCCTCCTCCTCCTCCTCTTTCCAGCATGAGACATTGGGCAAGTTACTGTGACCTGTGGACCCATTTCTTCATCAGCAAGAAGAGGACAAGAATGTCTACCTCCGGGGGTCACTGTGAGGGTTAAAGGAGGTAGTTATGCAAAGCACTGGCCAGTGGGCTTGACAACTGCTTGACAAGAAGGGTTTGACAAGAGCCAGGATCTTGGCAGATGACGGCTCTGCATGCTCCCAGAGAAGCGGGAGGCAGGGCGGTGTGCCCAGGTTCCTTCCAACCCCTGACCCAGCATGTAGAGGAAGAGGCTGCTACCTGTCTAATATCTACGCTCCCTTTACTTGGCGTTGGAGTCCTGGAGTTTCCTCGGGGCACTTTCCAGTCCCGCTCGCAGTCAGGCGTGGATGTGACTGAGTTCTAGCTGTTGGGAAAATGGAGAAGTTATGGTGCAACTTCTGGGACATGCCCTTAAAACAGGCTTGCCCATCACTTTCTCTCCTCCCCTTTCCACTGGCTGGAATGCAGATGGGATGGCCGGGGCTGCGAAGGCCAGGGTGGACCAGGAAACCGCTGCCTTGCATGGAAGACGGCAGGGCAGGGAGAGAGGGGGTGGGAGTTGGAGAGAGAGGGAGAGAGGGGGAGAGAGTTGGAGCCCTGTGGGCCACAGCTGGCTCACACTCACCCTGTGACTGTGTGACAGGGAACTTCACCTCTGCTGCTGTCTGGACTCTAGCTGGAGCCAACTCCTGGCTTTGGATGCCCAGAGTGAAGCGCTCAGGCCTGTGTGGAAGTGGTAGCGTTCACCTGTGGTCCCCACCACTGCTACAGGAGCAGACAGTGCGAGGCAGAGTCCCAGGATGCCCCTCCCAGGGCTGCACCTCTGGGCAGGGGGAGGGACGAGGCCCTCTGTGCTCTTGGCTCTTCTACACGCACCATACTCACCTCTGAGACACACCCGCTCAAGATCATTCCATTTTCTAAGGAATCTGGCGTCATGCCCCTACGCCAGCATCAGAAGCACTTCTTACACTGTGAAGGCGCTATTTGGATTTTGTGGGCCAGCACACCACTGAGCACCACGGAAGCCACTGCTGAGAGCCACCGTGCTGGGGCACCTCCGGGTTCCTGTTCACAGCAGAGCCACCCTGCACGCAGGCTGCGCCACGGCATGACCTTCTCGGGCTGCCCGCTGTCTGAGGGGCGCCTGAAGGTGAGATCACAAAACACAGAACACGATGTTTACCCGTGAGCATACGCTTGAGCTCATGAGGTTCATGGTGACTATGAAAACGCACAAGGAGGGCAGGTAGCCCAGGGCCCACGGTGCAACCAGTGGGCGCAACGGTGCCGTGAGCTGGCGCTGCGGCCGTGAAGCTGCCTCCTGGAGCCATTTCGCCCCTCTGAATGGCGCTCGGGTTATTTTCAGACAAAGGAGCATCAACTGGAGGTTCTGCCTTTTCGAATGGATGGAATTACATTCCCAACTTCTATTTACCAGAGTTTCCAGGAGAGAATCACTCTCAGGAGGGGCAGACAGGATCAGGACTCTCCACGGAATCAACTTCATGGCTTCTAAAGCAACTTCAGGAGGCACAGGAATGGGGAGACCTCTCATCTGGGTGGGTTCCCCCTTCCCAGCTCATGAGAGGGGCAGATGCCAGCAGGCAGGCCTTGAGCCTTGGCTGGTGGGACAAGACCAAAGTCAGCCACCAGCAATGTCTCCAAGACTGATCCCAGCACACAAGGCAGGCAAAGAATTTTCTCAACTCTTTTTATTAAGTTAGAAAACTGATAAAAGCAACACAACTTTTGGGGAAAGCACCATGGCACGTCCTTTGTGCTATGTGATAAGTGTGCTTTATCTCAATGAAGCAACCCCACGGGTCCAGGCACCCTCCCTGCAGTCCCCGCGGCCAGGCTCCTGAGTGTGCCAGCAGAGCCGTCCCCTGGGACCACAGCCAAGTGCCTTCGGGCAGCTGGCCTGACACAGGCGGGGTCTGCTGGGTCTACAGGGTCCAAGGAGCCCCATGCAGCCAGTGCCCCATGGCGGGCGTGTCAGTGGGCAAACCCTGCCCAAAGGTCCCACCCCCAAGAGGCCTCCAGGACCCGCACCAAGGCATGGGGGACACTCGTGGCTGCTTAAGTAACTGGTATGTGCACAGCCCCCTCCGCGGCCCTAATCTTGAGCCAGCCAAGCAGTGTTCACACTGCAGGTGCCTGGGAAGCCCCAAGTTTGGACACCCTGCCCAGTCCCTGTCAGGGCACCAACACCCCTCCCTCTCAAATGGTGGCTTGGGAGTGAGCGAGAGGCATTAGGATGGTCACTGACAGGCGCCAACCTCTCCATAGCCCAGGTGTCAGGGAGGTGCTGGTGAGGGACCCCAGTGACTCAGGAGGTGACAGCAATGAACAAATGTTCAGCAGTTCTCTCGGGGCCATTCTTATCTTGGAGCTCAGGGAGCAAATGGGGGCCAAAACGCAAGAGGATGGTGAGGGTCCCGTCACTGTCCTCCACACTGAGATGGATGCGGCCCTGGTGGGATCTGCAGGGGACACCCTGGGGTCCCTCTGCTGTCTCCAGCTCACAGCTGCTCCTGGTCTTGGAGGGCAGCGTGGTCTCCTGGGGAGAAGCCCCCAGTGCTGTTGGCAGGTGTGTGCCATGGGGGTCACTGCTGCCTCTCAGGGTGGGCTCTGAGGAGGGGAGGGGAGGGGTGACCCCCAGGGCACTCGGAGCCTTGAGTCTGCTGCAGGCCCAGCTCCACTGAGTGGCCACGAGCAACTGTGTCCCCACCGGGCCACAGCACTGAGCAAGGCCCTGAGTAGGTGGGCTGGGACTTACAGCTTTGTGGAAGGGGCCCACAAACCTTGGAGGTCTGGGTGTCCTTTGCTAATAAGGCCTCATGGATGTCACTGAGGCCCCCCTGCAGTTTCTGCACCTTAAAAAATCTGTCTTGGTCACCTTTCTGGTCTCAACCCCTGGGAACCTAGTTTCCCAGGCCCAGGACACCATCTATAGATGGCAGTAGAGCCCCAGCAGGGCAGGCCAGGAGGGAAAGGATGTGTGGCAGTGCCGCAGCCCCAAAGCCCACCCGGGGCGCCTCCCTGCCCCTGCCTGCCCGGCCCCAGTCCAGGACCTGCCAAACAGGTGATCTCAAGGCTCTGCAAGTGTCCTTCTCCCCGACGCCAGGGTCAGTCCTGGTGGCAGTCCATGCCCCTCTGGGAGGTATGTCTTCCCACAAACCACTGCAAAGCTGAAGAGGCCCCCAGGGGCACGGATGCAAGAGATGCTTCTCTTCTCTTGCCTAAAGCTCAGAACAGCCCAAGGCTGCTGCTCCCCAGAGCTGGCAGGGCCCCTTCCACCTCTCGGAGTGCTGGCCCAGGGCCGGCTTAGCTCCCGCTGTGGCAGACAAGCAAGGCCACGCTGTGACACTGAAGGCCGCGGTCTGTGGAGGGAGGAGAGGAAGAGAAAATCAATCAGTGGCCACATTGTTCTGTTCTGACCTGATCTGGAACAAAATGACAATGACACAGCTGCCCATGAGGCTCGGGCGTGAGAACGCCAGATCCACCATTCACCGGCAGCGCAGTCTGGTGATTCAGGCACCCCAGGCCTGCTTTCCCCACTGAGTGGCAGGTGACTCAGGTGTCAACTTGATTGGATTCGGGGATACCCAGACGCCCGGGGACACATTACGTATTCTCAGTGCTGGAAGGGAAACCCAGGCGGCTTGGTACTTGATTCGAATGGCCAGGCCGCCCCAGTGAGTCTGTGCTTCCAGAGGTGACCGGCGTGAGAGCCGTGGTTGCAGGTGAGCACCATCAGATGGGCAGGGGCCCTGGTGGAATAAAAAGCTAAGGAAATGGGGACTCAGGTTTCTTTCTTCTGGAGCTAGGTTGCTCTTTTCCTGCCATCGGGCATCAGAGCTCCAGGTTCTCTGGCCTCTGGGACTTGCTGCCCACCACCCCACCCCCACCCCAGGCTCTTGGCTCTTTGTCCTTGGGCTGAGGTCTGTCCCCAGCTCTCCTGGTTCTGCAGCTTGCAGCCTATCATGGGACTTCTCAGCCTCTATCACCAAGTGAGCCAATTCCCCTAATAGAGTAAGTTCCCTCTCACATACCACTCCGAGGCCCTGAAAGGAAAAGGTGAGCCCTCTCGCACAGGCGGGCACAGGCAGGCGGAGCACTCTAGCAACCCTGAGTGTTCATGCACTCCATAAGGCAAGGAGCCTCAGCAAAGCAGTGATTAATGGTGACGCTGTCCGCGGTTTTTGGCTTTGGTTGTATTTAAGCTGTACGTGTTAGTTTTAGTTGTGTAAGAACAAGAACATAAGGGGCTTTCTAGTTGTATGCTTGTGTGTATTAAGTAACCTTAGTTACATTTCAATTAAACACTGAAGCCAGCACTGAGGCTCCACGGCTGTCCCCTTTAAGTGGGGTACACCTCTCCATCCCACACAGTGCTGGGCCGTCTGTTCTCTGAAGGCTGCTTTGCAGGAATTCTGCCCTCCCCACGTGCTCAAGTTGTTTCCAGATACAGAGGCTGGGTTCGGCGACTGAGAAGGCCCCCAAATCCCTTCAAGCTCCTCACAAGTGAGAAGCTGGGGTCACAGGGGCCCTAACCATCCTGAGATGCTCTAAGACTGCAAACCCGAACCTCTGGGGCCTGGCTGCCCGGTCTTGGCCCCATCCCAGCACGCCACATGCTGACATGTGGTCCCTTCAGGGCAAGGCCTCACTGCTACCTGGAACTAAACAGCCACGCTACCTACCTGGGGGTGTCCCCCAAGGCACCCTGAGTTGCTGAAAGGAATACAGATGACAGCTAGAGGCACAGGGGTTGGGGAGCCTCGGGGCCAGGCTCCTGTGTTCCCTCTCAGGCTGGGTCCCTTTGTTCCCTCTCAGGCTGGGTCCCTTTAATTTTTGGCAGGTGCTCCCTGGGGCCTGGCCTCAACTGTGAAATGGGCTAATCCTCCAGCTTGCAGAGTGGACAAGGGTCAGCGGCCGCCCTGCACTTCCTGTGTGCAGCAGGTCTTGGCCAACGTGCATCCTGTGGGTTGTTGGTGTAGGGCCTGCCCCACTAGGCTCAGCCTGCCCCATCAAGGGTGGGATGCTGCTCTATCCCCCAGCCTGGCACAGGAACGAATGACTGCTGATGCCTGGACGGACGGACTCCGTCCTGGGCACTTGCTTAGCCAGGCCCAACCCTCAAGGCTGGCAGAAATCCTCAGGCCTGTGCTCTGGGATTTCCCATCTGTAGCAACTTCTTTAAGACAGGAGAGAATGTACTGTACTGTCCCTCCTGCAGCAGTGACGGAGCCCACAGTGGATTAATGAGCTCGGCCTTTCCCAGAGCCAGGACTGGAACCCTGCCCTGCACCCCAGTGGCTAGGCCCCAGCAACACCCTGAAGAGAAGACAAGCTGTCGGCAGCCGGATGCCTGCCTTGCATTCGGCAGCCCCCCCATGCTGGAGGCGGGTGGGAAAGAAGGGTTGGGAGTCTGCGCCTTAAAGGGCCTGGAGTACGGGGTGCCCAGTGGGAGAGAAAGAGAGAGAAGGAGAGAATGTTCACAGCAAGATCACCCTTAGTGGGTAAGCGGGGGCCTCCTGCAGCCGCTGGCTGCTATCCCCTAGGCTGTGGATCCAACCGCAACACTGGAGCAAGGGGCTGCCCTGGAGGTCGCTCAGGTTCCAGCTCAGCAATTCCCCGCCGCTTCTGGACGGCTGCTGGCCAAGCCTGTGCTCTGTGCCAGGGGCGCAGACGTGAGGATGCCCGTGGCCAGCTCCCCAGAGGCGCCTGCAGGCAGGCGGCACACTCAGGGCTCAAGTCCTGCTCCAGCCCTGACTCACCATTCATGTGATGCCAACTGTCTCACCTCTCAGAGTCCTAGTGGGCGCCCTCCAACAGCAGGACCTACGACAAACAGCTCTGGAGAATGACAGGGAACTCGATGCAGACGCTCACACCTATGAAGAGCTCCAACAGGTGGCCAGAACAGGGGAAAAAAAATGCTTGTGGACAAACAGGGGCCATGATCTGGGGTGCAGAGGCCACAGTGTGCAGGGGACCTCCTGGTGGCTTCTGAAGCTAACGTCAGAGTCTTACAGGATGGATGGAAAGGGGCCTCCAGGGACAGGGGCAGTTGGGCCCAGCTGGAGGCAGGAGACTCAGCCATGCTCGTGGGGACTAGCGAGAGCTGGACTTCTCACCAGCATCCTTGGCCTGATCCCCACTGCTGCCTGGGAGAGTAGCGTCAGGGAGGGAAACGTAGGGAGCGGGGTGGTCACAGAAGCCATCTCGGGCCCAGGCACTGCCAGACGACATTCTAGGTGGCAGACGACGATGCGCTGGTTGGGGCTGCAGGCAGCCAAGCTCAGTGGGAAGTGCCATGGTCACCAGGGGCACCCACCGCGGGGGAGGTGGCAGGAGTGCTTTGTTTCCACCCTTCCTGGCCCCGGTCTGCGGCTGCCTGAGTTGGGGGCTCTCCTCTGGCTCAGCCCTGACAGCTCCGCAGTGGCCGCCTGAGCAGCGAGAGCTCTGCTTGCAGCCACTGTGGCTCCATTTCCTGGTGACCCAGGGAAGGCCAGGCATGCCCGGGCAGCGGCTTCTGGGCTGCAGGCCCTTCTATGGAGAGCCCAGCTCACTCCCTGCCTTTGAAGAGAACTCGGACACTGAGCTGTCCAGGCAGAAGCTGGACAGGAGGAGCTTTGCAGAGCATGGGAACAACCCAGGGTCATAGTGAGGGGACAGAAGCCACGGGATTGGGGTGGCCTCAGGCTGAGGAGGGGCTGCGCGGAGGGTCTCTGGATGGCCACCAGGCCCATGAGAAGGAAGCAGCTGGAACGCAAGGCAGTGGCAGAAGCTTAAGAGCAACCCGGACTCAGCGCAGCAGCCAAGGAAGCACACAGCCCAGAACGCCTTGGGGACATGGCTCTGGGATGACAGGGTCTGGAAGTAGCTTCCCCATCAGATCTGGGACTGGCTCAGTCTTGTGTGTCCGCTTCCTCATCCCTAAATGGAGCTGATGACAGCAATCCCATTACAGACTGAGGAGGACTCCAGTGGGCACAGGGCAAGTGCCTGCTGAGGAACAGCAGTCATGGGTGGACAGGCCTTTCAGAGGGAGGGGCTAAGCAGAGACATCTAGAGGCCCTTGCAGCCCACAGCACCCCAAAACCATCAGCATCAGCATCTCCCTGTCCTCCATCGCTACCCCTTTTAAGCTGCTTCTGAAACTGGCAATCACTTGATCTCTATTCTAGTGCTATGAGTAATACAATTTCCACTCCCGTTGTCCAGATGGGGAAGCTGAGCCTCAGGGGAATCAAGTAGCCAGTCCAGGGTGAAGCAGCCAAAAAGTCACAACCAAGACACCATGCATGCTCTCCTTCCAGGGTCCCTGGGATCAGAGCAATTCCTGGGAGAGTACATGGTTCACCAGGTCCAGTTGACAGGGCAGGGCCAGGTGGGAGGGAGCCTCTGACCTGGAGGGTAGGCAGGGGGCAGCCTCTGGTCTGGAGGCTCAGACCAGAGATGGTCTCAGCTGCCTGAGGCCAGCAGCATGGGCCCCCTCACACTGCCCAGCCCGGCTGGCCTGGGGTGGGAGGGGCCTCCATTTCCCACAGGTGACATTCCCCAGGTTTCTAAATGACCTAGAGGATAGCAACAGGGAATTAATGAGGAGATGCCAGTATCCTCTTGGAATCTCACTCCTCAGGGAATCAAGAAATTTGGCAGGTCTGATTTTTCTCTAAAGACAGCAGATTAAAAAAAAAGAAGACCGGGCACGAAGGCTCACACCTGTAATCCCAGCACTTTGGAAGGCCGAGGCGGGTGGATCACCTGAGGTCTGGAGTTTGAGACCAGCCTGGCCAACACGGTGAAACCCCATCTCTACTACAAATACAAAAATTAGCTGGGCATGGTGGCAGATGCCTGTAATCCCAGCTACTCAGGAGGCTGAGGAAGGAGAATCGCTTGAACCCAGGAGGCAGAGGTTGCAGTGAGCAGAGATCGCACCATTACACTCCAGCCTGGGGGAGAACGAGACTGTCTCAAAAAAAAAAAAAAGAAGAAGAAGAAGAAGAAGAAAACAGAAAAGCTGTAAAAGAAAAAAGCAAGCCAGATGCGGTGGCACACGTCTGTAATCCCAGCTACTCAGGAGGCTGAGGAACGAGAATTCCTTGAACCTGGGAGGTGGAGGTTGCAGTGAGCAGAGATCGTACCCTGCACTCTAGCCTGGGTGACAGAGCGAGACTGTCTCAAAAAAAAAAAAAAGAAAAAGAAAAAAGAAAAATAAAAGAAAAAAGAAAACTGGTGTTCCTATTCAGGCTGGCCTCTGTGAGCCCAAACACCCTGTGTTCACCAACTTGATGCTTATGCTTGGGCCCTCCTTGCCTGCCACCATGTCCCTTTAAGGGACTCGAAGGCTTGGCTGGATCTGAGTTAGAGGCTGAGCCATCAGCTTCCATTGAGAAGCAATCCCAGCTAAGAATGACTGCCTTCACTGGGTAGAGCTTTCAGCATTTGTATCAGCAGCCGCTGGCTCACTGAGGAAATTAATGTTTAGCTCGGGCCAGCTCCTGAAAGGGTTCCTATGACCTGAAGCTGAGCCCACACGTGGGGATCACTGCCACCACCCAGCGCTGCAGGATCGTGGGAAGCGGCTGGGCTCCCTCCGGCAGGACAGCTCATCTTCCACAGTCTCGTCCTGTGCTGGAGGCAGAGTGCACCCAGGGATCTTATGCCCCTATTGCAGGGGTGAGGGGCCCAGGACAGCATGAGCCGGGAGAATGGCCAAGGGCTAGTGGCACGCACCCTGGCCTTTCCCAGGCCCTAAACACAGAGGGTGTGTTGGGCACAAAGCCCTTCTCTGGCATCTACCCCAGTACCCTGCCAGGCTGGCCGGGATACCCTCTCTCGTGGCAGGACCTCATGCCGATCCTGCCCCTATTTGCTGCGGGAAGACCCCGCCCCCAGCTCAGCTTCTCAGGAGATTAAACCAGCACCAGATGAGACACTCCTCCCGCCCGTTCCTTCCCTTCACTGCAGGGTCTGCAGGGCCTGGCTCAAACTGCTCCCAGTGTCTCTGTCCCACCATCACCTCCCACAGAGTGCCTTCCGTGTCACCTGTTTTCATAGCGATTCCACACAATGACAGTGTGGCAGCAACCCACAGACACTCGCTCTGCAGGAAGCCCTGCTCCAAGGCCCTCAAGGATGACCTCGCTTAAGCTAGACGCCTGCCGGCTTCGAGGAAGGACTTCTCCCCATCCCTTGCATGCTGGTGAGCACACAGCTGCCCCCAGGAGAAACAGGACTCAAACCAAGGCTGTCTGTTCCCACCATGCAGGCTTTGGTGTTTACAGTTAACAGTTTTTTGGAGGACTCCACCATTTAGACATGGATGTCATGCCTGGTTGGCGATCATTTTTTTTTTTTTTTTGAGACGGAGTCTCACTGTTGCCCAGGCTGGAGTACAGCGGCATGATCTTGGCTCACTGCAGCCTCTGTCTCCCAGGTTCAAGTGATCCTCCTACCTCAGCCTCCCAAGTAGCTGGGATTACAGGTGTGCACCACCATGCCTGGCTCATTTTTTGTATTTTTAGTAGGGATGGGGTTTCACTTGTTAGCCAGGATGGTCTCGATCTCCTGACCTCATGATCTGCCCACCTCGGCCTCTCAAAGTGCTGGGGTTACAGGCATGAGCCACTGTGCCCGGCCAGGACTGACTTTCACATTGCCCAGGCTGGTCTTGAATTGGGCTCAAGCCATCTGCCCACCTCAGCCCTCCTAAAGTGCTGGGATTATAGGCATGAGCCACCATGCCCGGGCCTGGTTGGCAATCTTCATACATATCATCACTCATCAGTGCCAGGAGAGTAACACTGTCCTGACTCCATGGGGAGGGGGCCATTCTCCTGGACTCTGCCTTAGTACATGTCTCTTCCCTTGGCTTATCTTAATCTGTATCTTTCCCCTATAATAAACTGTAACTGTGAGCATAACAGCCTTCAGCGACTTCTATAAGTCTTTCTGGCAAAATTGACCGAGGGTGGTTTGGGAGGCCCCCTTTGTTGCACCTGGTGTCAAAAGTAAGAGCAGGCTTGTGTGGAGACTGCACCCTCAGACTCTGCAGGTTGACCTATGCTCCACACAGCACTGTCAAAAGGTCCCTGGGTGATTCTGAAGTATAACCATGTTTGGGAACCACCATGTTGGTCTAACCATGGTTACTGTCCCCATTTTGCAGACTGGTTCAATAATTTGCTCCAGGTTAACTGCAAATAGAAGGCAGAGCCAGGATTTGACTCCAGAGCACACCAGCCACCTGCTGCCCACCCAGACTTCCCTGGAAGACACGGTGACCTTCACCCAGTGGGAAGAGGTGGGACTGCATTCCCCCATGACCTTTCCGGACCCAGAGTGGCCGTGGGCTGCCAGGGACTCACCTGGCTGGGCTCAGCAGGTGCTCCTCACGCGGGCAGGTGCTTCCAGGTGCTGACAAAGGCCGTGGGGATAAGTGAGTAGGGCACTGTGGTGATGCAGTTCCATGTATCTGAAGTGGGGTCATAGCAGTCCAGAGTCTTACACCTCTGGGTCCCAAAGTAGCCCCCGACCACATAGAGCTTGTTGCCGGAAGCCAGGGCATGGCAGGACATGCGCTTGGCAGTCATGTCCCCAATCCGCGTCCACTGGTTGGTCTCACAGTCAAAGCGGTAGGCCGAGGCGGCTGTGAATTCCGTGTCACCTCCCATGATGAAGATCTGGCTGCCCAGGACGGCAGCGGCTGTGTACCGCCAAGGCTGGGGGCACTCGGCCTTGATCGTCCACCTGTTCTCCGAGGGGTCATAGCACTGGACCTTGGACACCATGTCCCGGTGGATGCTGGTTCCTCCGAAAACAAAGAGCTTCAGCTTGGCACTCACCACTGCGGCATTGCTGACGCCATCCCGCAAGGGGGCCACCATCATCCACTTGTTGGCCCCAGGGTCGTATTTCTCCACTTGTTTCAGGGAGACAGAAGGCGAGGCCGGGAAGACCCCTGCCAGGGATGTGTGTCCCCCCACCACATAGAGGCAGTTCTCCAGCTCAGCTGAGCCATGGCCAAAGCGGGCAATCAGCATGGGCGCCGCCTTGGACCATTCCTCATGTACGGTGTCGTACACCCAGACATCCTTGGAGACCCCGTTCTCGGAGCCCCTGCCCCCCGTCACATAGACCTTGCAGCCGATCGCTGAGGCGCTGAACTCCTTCCGGGGGCTGGGCAGGTCGGCCTTGGGGATGATCTCCTTGGCCTTGTGGTCCACCTGGTAGATCTTGTCACACATGAAGGTCTGGCCCCCCAGGATGAGTAGCGTGTGGCCCGCCTTGCGTGGCCGGGCACAGGGGCTGGTGACCACGCCATCATTCTGCAGGATCCTGGTCTTGCAGCGCAGGGCCTCATCCATGATAAGCTTGGTGCGCTCGTCTGCCATGAGGAGGGCCTCGCTGGAGACGGCCTCCTGCAGGCAGTCGGACGGCAGCAAGGCCAGACGCACGCTGCGGAGGAGCTCGGGCAAGTGGACCTTCCGTGGCTCCAGGTCGTGCTTCACCCACTGGAGGATGGCCTCGAAGACCACCCGCTCGTCCTCGGTCTCCAGCTCATCACTCGAGATGAGGTCCAGCAGTGTGTCCTTGGACAGGCTGTTGAAGTCCTCGCTCTGCCTCACCGTCTCAAAGTGCACCAGGCACATGCGCCAGGAGAACTCATACAGCCGGCGGCACTGGTGGGCGTCCGAGAGCAGCATCATGCCCAGGCAGTTGGAGGGGAAAAGGTTCTTCTCCAGGAACTCGGCGGCAGCATCCCGCACATCGTGGAACTGCAGCATGTCGCCTGCCTCCAGCAGTGACTCAGCGTTCTCCTCGTTGATGGCGATGCGTGAGGAGTAGGCAAAGTCCAGCAGCAGCTCCAGCACCTCCGGGTGCAGGTTGTCCTGGAAGTTGACAGTGTCATCCCGGCTCTCCCGAAGGCCATGGCTGAACATGGCCTCAAAATAGCGGCTAGAGGCGGCCAGCACGGCACGGTGACAGGGGAAGGCACGGTCGCCCGCCCAGAGTGTGACGTCGGTGAACATGCAGTGCTTGCGAAGCGTGTTGAGGTGGGCCAGCACACAGTCCGGGTGGGAGGCCTTGTGGAAGAGGGTGACGTTCATGGACCCCGTGCTGCTCCGCGACTTGCGGGTCTCATGGACACTGACCGACATGGTGCGTCAGCTTGTGGGGGAACAAGCCCACAGGTTAGAGGAGCCCCTCCTGCCCATCTGCCCTCTCAGGGCTCACTCTTCAGCACAAGCCCCCTTGTCCCCTCCCACCCACTCTCTGCTCACCTCTGCTAAACCAAGCCCCTCTCCCGCAACCACGTTGCCAAGGACAACACAGGCAAGAGTGGCTGGGTCTCACCCTGCCCTGCAGAAACTGGTTTTGTTCTCAGGGTATGAGCCAGCTCTGGGACAAACATCTCTGGCCTGCAGATGAGCCACCCCCTAGGCAAGCTCCAGTTGAGGCTGCCTCCCATGGTTAAGAGAACATGCAAACGGTGTTCCTGACTGAGGCTGGTGTCCGGGCAGTGCTAAGTAACTGGTGCCTTTGACCACATTCCACTCTCATGACAGTCCTCTACAGAAGCTTCTCTTGTAAGTCCCATTTTAGAGCTAGGGAAGCCACAGCTCAGAGAGGCCAAGAAACTACCCAAACTGCCACAGCCAGGATTCTCACATGGGCTGTCCGGCTCTGGAGCCTGATCTCTGTTCAAGGTGACTAATCCCTGCAGGGTTTGCTGTGGACGCCCAAGCAGAGCCTCACGTACCCACTTCCCTGCTCCCAGCAGGCTCTGCCCTGGGCCGGGCTCCAAGCGGTACTGGCTAGACATCCCCCTTGCCTTGGAACAAGAGCCGCCATCAAGGCCCAAGTGCTCAGTGGAGACATGTTCTCTGAATCCAGGTGTCTCCACAGGGCTCTTTACCTAGCTGGGGCAAGTGATGGCTTGGAGGTGGGGCCGCCAGTGACTCACCCTCGAGACCAACGCAGAGGCCCAAGATGACAGCAGGACATGCCGAACCCTAACGGAAGTGATCCAGATTTGCCTCAGCAAAGCAGAGAAACACGAAGCCAGAGCTTCCCAGGTCCCCCAGCTGACGCCAGGATCCTGGGCCAACGCAGCGCCTCCCCTGCCTCCCTTGCCTGCCCTTCTCCACCAGGCCTGGGGACCTGGCGCTCAGAGTGATGGAGTGATGGCCAAGAAACAGGTTCACTACTTGCTCAATCTAGGGGAATTCTAAAGCACTGTCATTAATGTCCAGTGAATGGCATGACCCGAGGCCCCAGTTCAGTACTTTGAACTCAAGGCTCAGCCAACAGGCGGCAAAACTCATATACCTAGAGAAAACATGGCCAACACCCTTGAGGCCATCTCGAAGACCACAGCTACCTGCCCCACTGACCTGTGGAAGGAGACTGTATTCACCAAGTCTCCCGATCAGGAATTCACTGACCACCTTGTCAAGACCCTCACCAGAGTCTCCATGCAGAGGACCTACGCTCCAGCTGTGGCTACAACAGGGTTTTTATACAAGAAAAATAAAGTGAATTAAGCCTGAAAAAAAAAAAAAAAAGAAAGAAAAGAAAACATGGCCAAAAAGCAAACTGCATTCCAGTATCTTGACCCCCTAAAAGCCTGTGCTGCTGTCTTCCTGCTGGTAATGGGGCCAAGAAAAACAAAAAACCCTAAACAACAAAGTTTTTCATTTTTAATTTTCAAAAGTATGTAACTCTCCTGCCGCCTCCCACTCCAAGTCAATTTTCTACTTAGGTAATAATCTGGTAAAGGTAGGAAACGATTTCATGCTTCAGTGAAATTGTAAATGAGTGTCCGGCTACATGGCTCTCTCTTGCTCACTCCTCCTCTGGAAAAGAGGCAGAGAAGCCACAAACTGACGAGATTAGAGCTAGCAAGGTCCCTGCTTTTGGGCTTAGGCAGAGAGGGCACAGGGCCAGACTGGCCTTGCTGCTTGGACCCCCAAGCTCCAGGTAGACTGTACACCGAGGACCTGCCTAAGACACTGCTGTCCAAACCTGCAGCCCACAGTCCACAGGGCTCCGAGGCTATATGAGGTTAGCCCTTCTGGGGGTTGGGGTGAGAGCACTGGACGCAGATCCAGGCTGTATCCTGGCTCCACCTCCATCCTGTACCTCACTATTATTTTCTTGTAAAGTGAGATCCCCATCCTACTCAGGCCTCCACAACTCACTTGTTGGCAACTATTTCCTGAGCACATCCTCGAAGCTGGGCCCTCAGATGCAGTGGCACGGAGCCTGAGAGACTGCGCTGACCGGGTCTGAGGGAAGCTTTGCCAACAGCCTGGCCCGTGACTGATCGGAATTGCCTAATCTGAATTCCAGACCCTGCGACATTTCCCCAAATCTTGCTGTGATTGCTAAACTCTCACTCCAGTTTCCTCACTCCAGACCACCCCCTTGGTGATCAGACAATTTCCCAAATGTGGCTCTGTCCCCTCCTGCCCCACCCCACAGTGTCAGGACATTTTAAGAGGCATTTGTTGCCTCTGGTCTGCAGACCGTGCTGGGGGAAACGTGGAGAGCCAAGGACCAGGAAGAATTCTAGTTCGAGCCCTGGGACTCCTAAGCCCATGCCCTCTCCACTGAGGTCACGTTCAAGGGCCCTGATGCTGAGGTTTGGCTTCAGTTCCATTGTCAACACACTTGTGCTTCCAAGGACCTCCCTGCTCTAGGTCCCTAGGCACCTCATCGCACCTGCCCCCTGCCCCACCCTGGCCCTGCCAGAGGGGAGGCTGGTTCTGAGCTTGGGCTGAACGGCAGCTTGAATGCCTGGGCTTGGACACTCCAAGTGTGGGGTGAGCCCCTCTGGGATTCTTCTTACAGACAGCCCCAGCTGGAATCCCAGCTCCTCACCTTAGTAACTACGGCCCTGGAACCAACACACCTAGAACTAACTCCACTCTGGGGCACTGTGTTAACTGGGCTGCCTGCGAGAGTACCCAGGCAGAGACTCCCTTTGGAGGGGGTTATGGGCAGGACAAAGCAAGACTCAAAAGACCGAGAAAGCCAAAAAGCAGGGCAAATTGAAACAGGGCAGCCACAATGGTCCAGAGAAGGAGGCAGAGCAGTGACCTCTCCAAGCCAACAGTGAGCGGCAACCCAGGGTCCCAGAGCTGACAGATACCCTGCCAAAGTCGGCACCAAGAATGCCTGCCTGCTGATGCAGATGCTGGCAACTCATGTACACGCCCAGGCAGGTTCCCACCCCCTAGACAGCCGCCAGCCTGGGGCACCTCTGTGCCAAGGGCGGAAGCACCTGCCTAGTTGTTTCCCCGGTTTGTCCCATCTCCTTCTGGGCAGCGCCTGCCCCTGAGCCAATCTTCCACTGATGGCAGCCACTCACTCACCGACTCAGCCTGATCCCAAGTGAGGCACTGGAGCCCCACTTTACAGGCAAGGATGCTGAGGCCCACACAGCTTCTGGGCATGTTATTTGTGTACTGTCTCCCAAACTGCACAGGAGGCCCAGAAAGGCAGGGACCATGTGTGGGGCTCACTGATGTGACCTCAACACCCAGGACAGATCCCGGCACAGAGGTCACTTGACTTGATGGCATGGACCTGTCCATCTCTTCCTATGCCCATGATGAAGCCCTGAGACACAGCACACGAAACTCATTCATATCAACTCCACCATGACTGCCAGCCCAGCCACTGTCAAGACCCAGAGGAGAGGAAGGCCGAGGCAGTGGTGAATGCTGCCCAGGCGGCTGCGACACCTGACATGTGGTAAACGCGTGTCATTTTACTCACACCAGCACAATGCCGCCTCCTCCTCGCACTCACACCCTGACTGTTCTCTGGGAACCACCTGCCTCCAGGCAGCTCAGCGGGTGGCATCCCGGGGTGGGCACTGGGCCCCAGGTGCTGCACATCACTGGGCCCTGGGGATCAGGTGGGGAGTGGACACGTGCCAGGCCTGGCTGATGAGCTAGTGTCATCCTCCGAACTGCTGTGATGGGGCCTACACCCAGGACAGACCAGTGGGACTCTATACTAAGATGTTCACTGGAACTTTGAGGAACGAAGCAGGCCCTTTCCCTAGGACTGCTGACCGGACTGGACCAGGGCTGGGAGTGGGAAGGGGTGACAGCCGTGTTGCCACCTACCCAAGATGGAAGCCTGCGCAGAGGGCCAAGTGGAGCCCTGTGGTCCTCTGGTCCGCCCCCTTTTGCTGAGGCCTGTCACTTAAGGACTCACAGGGTCATCAGTGCCCTGAATTGGTGACCAGGGGCTGCTTGTCTCGGTAAGGGGTCTTAGCTATGTGTCCCTCCACCCCTTCCATCTAGCAACCAGAAGAATGGTTGTGTGTGATTATTTTCAGTTGCTCAAGATATATGTGTTCAGTACCAGTGACATACCCAGCCTCATAGCAGGGCCTGGGGATGCAAAAGCAGCCCAAGCCAGAGGCTCCCAGCGGCGGGGGGTGGGGAGCATGTGAGAGGGCCCAAAAGCAGGCCCCGGGAAGCCTCCCTGTGCCCATGGCTCACGTCTTTGGAGCCATAATCAATCAGACACTCTCGCTCTGCACATATCACAGAATTGTTCTCATGACCTAAGCGTCGTCCTGAGCTTTGATGGATTTAAGGCACATAGCGTAACTGCACAATGTTGCAATGCCACAGATCAGCAACTCTTCATCCTGCTACGAGGGGTGGATCCACCTTGGACATCGCTGCTCCCCAGGCAATCCTCACCTACAGACTCAGCTAAAATGTACCGGGTAACAATGTGCCCAGCATCCTTCTCCAGCACATCTTTGGAAAGTTAAATGCACAAAGAAACAAACTAGCCAAGGGGTGAGACTTTCTGAAGAAAACTTGCCACACTCACAGAAGATTCCAGTGACCGAAAGCGAAAGGCCTATCCTGAGAGAAATAGGAACCCGGATGCCATCAAAGCTGCTTTTTCCGTGCCAGTCTCAGGAAGGCCTGACTTAGTATGGCTACAGCACTAACCCCTTCCCACCCGCCTCCACTAACCAAGAGTTAGCAAGGCTCAAAACGAGGGTGTCAGCTCCATCATTCTTCACTACAGGATGGGGAAACGAGAGAGGCACAGCGCTCAGCCTGCGTAGTACCCAGGCATGAACAGCTCAAATTATCTCTGGAGCTCAGGGCCAAGCCAATCCGTATGGCCCCCTGGTACAAAATGAAAACCCCTCCCCACTCCCGCAGTGCGATTCTTTTTTTCTTTTCTTTTTTTTTTTTTTGAGACGGAGTCTTGCTCTGTCTCCCAGGCTGGAGTGCAATGGCGCGATCTCAGCTCACTGCAACCTCCGACTCCCAGGTTCAAGCAATTCTCCTGCCTCAGCCTCCCGAGTAGCTGGGATTACAGGCGCCCGCCACCACACCCGGCTAATTTTTGTATTTTTACTAGAGACGAGGTTTCACCATGTTGGCCAGGCTGGTCTTGAACTCCTGACCTCAGGTGATCTGCCCGTCTTAGCCTCCCAAAGTGCTGGGATTACAGGCATGAGCCACTGCGCCCGGCCAGGGCGATTATTTTAGGTTTGCCAGTGTACCTGCAGTGTACCAGTCTCTGGGTTAGCAGGAAAGCACCTTTGGAAACTCGGAAAAGCCAAACCTGGCTTTTGGGCTTTTTGACAGATGTGGCTCTGGACCCAAGCACAAGACTTAGAGAGGAAAATGCAGCTGAAATTCAGGCTGCATGAGGTTGGGTGCCCTTATGCAGTGAACAACCTGCACAGTGATTCACGGCCACCCTGCAGGAGCTGACGCTGACAGAAACCCAAGACACGGCCCTTCCTGGCACCAAGTATGCACTGGGTGCATCGGAGTCAGGATTCCACCAACAATGACTTCATGAAAACACACAGCCGCAAGGACCTCAGCATGTCCCTTTGCCAGGAGTTCCATCATTCCCGTTTTATTGATAAGGAAACAGACTCAACGCCACATTCTTGGAACTTGGGCCTGACTGCAGACTTTGAGCTGCTAATTCCTCAGGAAGGCGGAGGTGTTCAGCAAGCAGTGGCAGGAAAGGAGATGGAAAGATGAACTCCTTGCTCTCCTGTCCCCTCCTGAGGGCTGGCAGCACAAGCCAGGTAGGATGCACCAGCCACCCGGCCTGAGGTCCCCTGCCTGGGTTGCAGAGGCTGTGGGGGCAGCAACCATGTGTGAGGGCGCCCAGCCAGGCTGCTGCCTTTCAATGGCTCGTTTAAAAAAAAAAAAAAAAAAAAAAAAAGCGGCCAGGCGTGGTGGCTCACACCTGCAATCCCAGCACTTTGGGAGGCTGAGGTGGGCAGATCACAAGGTGTGGAGTTCGAGACCAGCCTGGCCAACATGGTGAAACCCCGTCTCTACTAAAAATACAAAAAATTACCCGGGCATGTTGGCGTGTGCCTGTAGTCCCAGCTACTCGGGAGGTTATAGCATGAGAACTGCTTGAACCCAGCAAATGGAGGTTGCAGTGGGCCGAGATCACGCCACTGCACTCCAGCCTGGGCGACAGAGCGAGACTCTGTCTCAAAAAAAAAAAAAAGAAAGAAAGAAAGAAATGCAGGCAGGGCACAGTGGTTCACGCCTGTAATCCCAGCATTTTGGGAGGCTGAAGCGGGCAGATCACCTGAGGTCAGGAGTTGGAGACCAGCCTGGCCAATATGGTGAAACCCCATCTCTACTAAAAGTATAAAAATTAGCTGGGCATGGTGGCACGCACCTGTAGTCCCAGCTACTTGGGAGGCTGAGGCAGGAGAACTGCTCAAACCTGGGAGGTGAAGGTTGCAGTGAGCCAAGATCGTGCCACTGCACTCCAGCCTGGGCGACAGAGAGGCTCCGTCTCAATCAATCAATCAATAGCAAAAAAAACCTTTATGCATATTTATTCAATATTGTATAGATCTTGTTATTTAAACTGTAACTGATCTGAATTATATTTTTCAATGTGCATATTTATTTAGTTTGGTTTTGTTTCATCTTTTTATTGTGAAAAGATCTGAGGCCGGGCACGGTGGCTCACGCCTGTAATACCAGCACTTTGGGAGGCTGAGGTGGGCGGATCATGAGGTCAGGAGATCGAGACCATCCTGGCTAACACAGTGAAACCCTGCCTCTACTAAAAATACAAAAAATTAGCTGGGTGTGGTGGCGGGTGCCTATAGTCCCAGCTACTCGGGAGGCTGAGGCAGGAGAATGGCCTGAACTCAGGAGGCGGAGGTTGCAGTGAGCCGAGATGCCACCATCGCACTCCAGCCTGGGGGACACAGCAAGACTCCATCTCAAAAAAAATAAATAAATAAATAAATAAATAACAGATCTGACACTTGCAGTGAAGCCACAAGAATTGTGAAATGGCACCTTCTGGTCTCAGGTGGACAGTTTGCTGGGCAGTACTTAAACCTCCCAGCCCTCAGCCTCACCCCAGCTTCCTTGCCTCACTTTGGCCCCCATGCCTCCTGCACAGGAATGGGCTGCCCATGGGGCAGTTCTAGAATGGAGCAAGGATCAGGGAAGGGCTGAGAATGTCTGCTTCAGACAATGCTTGGTAATAAACGGGCTTCCCCTTCAGGCAATCCCATGAGGTCCCTGCATCAAATAGCTCCCAGCCAATGCTCACCCCAATAGCACAGAACCACAGCCCTTCCGCAGCCTCTGACAGTGCATACAGTGAGACCACCTGGCTTCACCTGCTTTCCTGAGGTCAAGATCAACAGTGCCACCAACCAATGCTCTCAAATTGTGTCTCCTTCCCCACCCAGACACAGACACAGTGTCCCTTGTGGACAATGAATCAGAGGATTACTCTACACATGGCCCTACCCGTCAGCCTGCAGCCAAAGCCTGGAAAGCGAAGGGAGGTCCCGACAGACCCAGAGGGCCGGCCGATGTTTCAGTGCCTTCTCCACATGCTCCAGCCTTTTCACGTAACGCACCCAAACATTAAGCACACTTGAAGGGCAGCCACTTTAACTTCCAGGATTGACCGCAGAGTCCCAGGGTGACTGCAGCCTCTGGTCACCAGGGAGTGGGAGCTGTGATTACAAGTTGAGAGGGACGCCTTCTCCACTCCAGAGGAACGGGTCAGGCGGTGCACCACGCTGGGCCCTACCCAGTTTGGTGAAGCTCTTCTTCACAAAGAAGGCACAGAACAGGAGGTAAGGGGTCAAGGCCTGTGAAACTCTGCTGAAAGATGAAGCAACACGTGCTGCTAAAAATCAGCAGGGGATTCTGGCCAGGAAGGGAGCCAAATCAAATGCACGACTATCATGTACCTGATACTGTGCTAGGCATTTTACATACAAAATTTAATCCTCACAACCAAGCTCAACATGGTTATGACTTTCTGTCTTAATCAGGACGGATGAGGTTCTGCCGCAGCAAGGAACAACCCCCAAATCGCAGCAGCTGTACAGGAGAAAGATTTTATTTCTTGCTCATACTATTAATACATGCATCATGGTTCAGGCGGTAATGAGTGTTCTCATCAATCCCACTCCTAGGAACCCAGATGACAGAGCTGCCACCATGTCACCAGTCACTATGCCAAAGGGCGGAGAGAGAGCTCTGGAAAGCATAGCACTGACAATTAAATGCTTGGCCTGGAAAGACACACAGCACTTCTATTCACATCTCACTGGCCAAATCCAGCTACACGCCTTCACTCACCCACCAGAGAGCCAGAAAGTCCAATCCTGCCATATGCCACACTATTTCTGTAAAAAATTTACCGATAAGAAAATAGAAGCTTGCAGGTTAATGATAATGGCAACAACAGTGCTAATCACAGTTGCTTAGTATCATATGCTGGGCACCGTCTCAGCACTTCACGTGTTAACTCACCTCATCCCTACTCAGCCTTAGGTATAACCATCGTCTGCATTTCACAGCTTAGGAAACTGGGCAGGGAGGTGTTAGGCAATTTGCCCAAAGCTACGCAAGGAGTGGGGGCAGAGCCCAGGGCTCTGTCTTGCTGAGTCTGTTCCCACAACTACACTATGTGAGCTCACTGACCCAAGACTGGGGAAGGGGCGGCGTTCAAATCCAGGCCATCCCTCTCTTTGCTGAGCACCAAAGGGGACAGAAGAGAGGTCTGTGGGGCCTCAGCCCTGTGTCCACCAGCAGGTCCCAGCACCAGGACACTGTCCTCTCCGTCTACCCCTTAAGCAGTCCTTCTCCACCAGCTTCTGTGCAACCAGGACAGAGGGATCCCGAAGAGGATTAAGCTCCCAGGCCCCATGGTACCCACTTCTCTCCTATGGGTCACTGGTCCTAGTAGGGAGCAGCCTCTGTGATCAGATAGGGAATCAGGACTGAGAAAGTTCACCTTAGAGAAAGGACCTATCCAGGACTTGCCCAGCTACTCAAAGGCAACGTATGGATTTGGCCAGCTCCTCACCAACAATTTTTTTTTTTTTTTTTTTAAAGAGAAGCCATCTTGCTAAGAAGAGAAGCCAGCCGAACCCTCCCATGGGAGGAACTGTTCAGGCCACACATCCAGCCCGGGGCAGGTGCAGATAGATGCAGCCATGGATGGGCAGCACCTGCCTTTCTGCCCAGCGTCCTGTCTTTTTGAGTGGGAGCTCTACAGACCAAGTGAGAGAGGCCAAAAGCCACACCCAGGAGCTCCACTGTGTTGTCTTTTACTGACATTAACAGTGAGGAGCAAGACAGAAAAGACACTAATGCCCTAGAACCACACTGCCTGACCAAAGTGAGCAGGGAGGAGGCAGTGGATGGGGACACACAGCTTAGTTCTTGGGGAATGAAAAACTCTTCTTCATCGTATGTATAAGGCATAGATACACATGTGGTATTAAAATGCAATGAGGAGGGTGGGTGCAATTAGGAAAAAACATCTAAAATGGCTTAGGGGTAGGGAGGTGCCAACAAGATTGAGAAACACTGCAAACACAACTACTATTTTCACTATGGCTTATTATTTTCAGCTTTTATCCCAAAACAAACACTTTTAAATTATTGCAGTTACAGAATACTATTTTACACTGGTTTTACCTCAACTTTTCACAGAGTTGCCATTTTCCTATTCTGCCCTCACTACTGAACAAAGACTGATTAAAGGCCTGCCAAGTGCAGGCACTGGGGACCCAGCCTTCTGGAGCCCTCAGGAACCTTAGTCTAGTGTCTTTGTGGTTGTCAACTGTAAATTGTAATGTCTGTGGAAACACATCACTATGGTTTACAAATCCATTCACCCATAATTTTCTGAATTTTTATGCAAGGAAAAACTAATGCCTTTTGCTTCTGTTGGTTCACTGTATTCTCTTGAGATAAATCCTTTTGAGAAAAAATGTTTTTATGTCATACCGTCCTAAAAGTTCTATTTACCAGGTAGGCCACCCGCAAGCCACACTTAAACCACCCTGCAACGAAGAGGCTTCTTTCAGCTCAAGGAGGGGTGGCAGCCCCTCTAAACTGTCAAGGCAGATGGAAGGTGCCGCCTGGCTTCTACCTGCCACATGCCAACCCCCTCAGGTTGGGGGTGCTGCCCAGGCTTTCTCTGGACCCCAGAGCTGGGAGTCATCTGCAAGCCCAGCTGCTGCACCAGACGGGAGTAATGCCAATAAAGTGGACTCCACTGCTGTCACCACAGAGGGGACAAAGAACTCAGCACTCAGGTTCACCCATCTGGTGAAGTAACTCGTTTCCTTCCACTTATCCAGAGCAAGCCAGAGACAGAAACAAAGAGGGGCAGCGAGATTGGCTCCCTCCAAAGCAAACGTGGCCTCCTGAGGAGGATTCCCCCTCTATGGCAGGACTGGCCTGGCCCTTTGCAAACAGATGCAGTCTGAGGACCTGGAGGGAGGCTGTCTCTCTTCCTGTCTGGTCCCACAGATGGAGCCATTAAAAGCACTCTGGCCTAGATATCACTTTCAATGAACCACCAGGAGTGACAGTCTTGGAGGAACACAAACATGCAGAACAGAACAAAAAAAGAACAAATGCCAAGCACTGGCCACTTACTGGTAGTGAATTTCTTTCTCCCTGTTCTCCAGAAGCTCTGTTCTTCTCTAGGCTGTCAACGCTGATGCTGAATCAGAATGAGAATGCCTCTCAATTCCCAAAGCCCAAGACACAACTCTTTCTTTACCCGCTGACAGAGATGAGAGCAAGGGGAGCATAGTTGGCACAATCTCTTCAGACAACAATTGGGAAACATCTTACAAAATGACAAATGCATGTGCCCTCTGCCCCAGCATTTCCACTCCTAAAAATTTCCCTTCCATCATGCCTGCACATGGTTACAAAATGGTTACACACCGCAGCATGGTTACAAAAGGAGGGGCTGCGAACAACTACAATGTTCACGAATAAGAGGCCTGGTGAGATAAACCTGGGTACACGCACAGAGTGGAGTTCCACACAGCTATCTAAAAAAAACCAAAGGGGCCGGGCGCAGTGGCTCATGCTTGTAATCCTAGTACTACTTTGGGAGGCCAAGGTAGGTGGATCACCTGAGGTCAGGAGTTCCAGACCAGCCTGGCCAACATGGTGGTGGCGGGCACCTGTAATCCCAGCTACTCAGGAGCCCGTATCCCAGCCCGTATCAATGAACTTTTGTACTCAGTGGCATTCCCATCTGACAGCCTGTCCTGCACTTTGAATGGATTGTTTACCCATGTGTGATTCTGTAACATCAGGCATCGGCCATTTGGAAAACATCGGTTCACTGAGTTATGCACTCTGGAGAGAATGAGTGAAAAGGGCAAATAATGTTTTAGTATTACCACAAAAATAGTTTTGACCTTGTGGACTCTCCACCAAGAGAATCTCAGGGACACCCAGACCACACTTTGAGAACATTGCGGTAGCGGATTTTTCTTTTTTTGTTTTTTGAGACAAAGTTTCGTTCTTTTTGCCCAGGCTGGAGTGCAGCAATGGTGTGATGTCGGCTCACTGCAACCTCCACCTCCTGGGTTCAAGCAATTCTCCTGCCTCAGCCTCCCAAGTAGCTGGGATTATAGGTACATGCCACCATGCCGGCTAATTTTTTCTATTTTTAGTAGAGACGGGGTTTCACCATGTTGGCCAGGCTGGTCCTGAACTCCTAATCTCCAGTAATCCACCTGCCTCGGCCTCCCAAAGTGTTGGGATTACAGATGTGAGCCACCGCGCCTGGCCAGAAGATTTTTCTTATCTTCCACACTAACCACTGTTTTTTTTAAGAACTAAGAAAAAGAAAATTCTGTAGGAAGCATGGGGGCCTATGCAGGGGGTCTCCATCCCGTTTGTACTGTGATGCACTAGAGCCTGCTGTCACCGGAGGCAGCTGGACCCAGTACCCTCTCACCCACTGCTGGCTGCCTCCCTCTAATGACCTGGCCCTGCCTGCTCCTCCCTTCATTATCAAAAGCCTTCTCTCACCCACAGGACCACCTCATCCTTCTCCAAAAAAAAAAAGACCTTGGGTTTGCAGAGGACAGGCCCTCCAGTAGCAAAGTACAGGGGCCGTGAGTAGACTGCTACACTTGGGCTTTGCAGTTGATAATTCTCGGTCTCTTGAAATTACATATGTACGTTTATTTATAGCAAAAACATGGGTGCCCATAAATAGCCAGTCATTCATATACACATTTTTAGCATATGGTTTAGCCACCAAGTTCCACTGCATCATCCTTCCTGGGACCTTGCATTGGGGTTTTCCTTCCCAGTCTTGCGTCACCACTGCAGGCCAGGTTATGGTCAGGCCCCTGAACCCTTTCTTCCCACACCTACCAACCCAGTGCCAAATTGTGAGCGCTCCTGCTCAAAAGCCTTCAAGGAGGCTTTCACATCCAAGCTGTGTTCAATCGGTTCCCTTTCCAGCTTTGTCCCACCCCCAGCCCCTCTTCCTCCCTCTCTCGGCTTTAGCTCTCCCCCTCCCTTCCTCTCATTCTCCCTGCTCAGCCCCACACCCTCACCTCCCCAATCTCTCCTTTCATAGCTACACCCCACTCTGGATTTTACATTTGTCGGGTATGTGGATGGCCTTGTCCACAGTACATGCTCAGAAAATGAATGCAGTAAGTACACTGAAATCTGAGCACCTACAATGTGGTGCCCCATGCGACACACAGGGCATATGGCATGCAGTAAATAACATAATTTTGTCTTGTCTCCTAGAATGAACGTTCTTCTGCCCTCTGTGCCTTTGCTGCAGCACGGTAGCCTTTCTTCTACTGCTGGACAGCACTGTTCACTCCTCAGGTCACTGCGTATTGTGCCCTTCTCTGTACTGGCAGCTCAAGGACATTGTTCTGTGTCATCTTTGCTACCTAGAATCGATTAGATGCTTAATAAATACTGCTGAATGAAATGGGGATTAGCCACAATACCCACGGGAGAAAGAATCAAAATGATCCAGAGATCTGTTAGACCCACCTGAGAGTTCCCTGGTGCCTGCCTGGTACCTGCCGTATTATATGCAATATAATCAACATATACCATATTTAAACATTTTATTTATTATTTATTTTGAGACATAGTCTCACTCTATCGCCCAAGCTGGAGTGCAGCAATGCGACCTCGGCTCACTGCAATCCTCCAGCTCCTGGGTTCAAGCTATTCTCCTGCTTCAGCCTCCCAAGTAGCTGGGATTACCACGGCTGGCTAATTTTTGTATTTTTTTTTTTGGTAGAGATGAGGTTTTGCCATGTTGGCCAGGCTGGTCTCGAACTCCTGACCTCAGGTGATCCACCTGCCTTGGCCTCCCAAAGTGCTGGGATTACAGGCATGAGCCACTGTGCCCAGCCATATTTAAACATCTTAGGCCAGGAGTGATGGTTCATGCCTATAATCACAGCACTTTGGGAGGCTGAGGTGGGCGGATCACCTGAGGTCAGGAATTCAAGACTAGCCTGGTCAACATGGTGAAACCCCCTCTCTACTAAAAATAGAAAAATTAGACAGGCTTGGTGGCAGGCATCTGTAATCCCAGCTACTCAGGAGGCTGAGACAGGACTATCGCTTGAACCCAGGAGGTGCAGCTTGCAGTGAGCTGAGATCGCACCACTGCACTCCAGCCTGGGTGACAGAGCAAGACTCCACCTCAATAAAAAAAAAAAAAAAAAAGAATTTTAAATGCTAGATGGGAAAAAGCAAACCTTAACTCTTTTCTGGATGGTGTTCCATAAATCATACAAAGCGAATTGCAGATACCGACCTTGGGCAGCCTACCAGGAAGGTTAGATGCTAAGAGTCCCTGGTTTCAAATCCCAGCACTGCCATTGCTACCTGTAAAACTGGTCCAAGATACTGAAATTCTCTGAGACTCAGTTTTCTCATCTGAAAAACAGGGGTGACAATAACTGTCCTGACCTCGAGGTACCATCCTCAGAATTAAGAGAGAATACACGTAAAGAGTGTAGCATGGTGGGACACAAATTTTGCTTGATTCATGACAGCTGCTGTTATTAATCATATTGTTATTGATGCAGGTCCATGGATGTCGACCTGATTCCTGTGATCATGACAGAGATTTTCAAATCTAATTAATGTGTGCTACATAGGTAATTAATGGTGTTACTGATCAATTGGTTGACCTTAAAGAAGGGAGATTATCTGGGTGAGCCTGATCTAGTCAATAAGCCCCTTAAAAGCAGAGTTGGCTGGGCACGGTGGCTCATGCCTGTAATCCCTGCACTTTGGGAGGCCAAGGCAGGCGGATCACCGGAGGTCAGGAGTTCGAGACCAGCCTGGCCAACATGATGAAACCCCGGTATCTACTAAAAATATAAAAAATTAGCCAGGCTTGGTGGCACACACCTGTAATCCCAGCTACTCAGGAGGCTGAGGCAGAAGAATTGCTTGAACCTGGGAGGCAGAGGTTGCAGTGAGCTGACGTTGCTCTACTGCACTCAGCCCAGGCAACAACAGCGAAACTCCATCTCAAAAAAAATAAAAAAATAAAAAAAAAAGCAGAGTTTTCTCCAGCTGGTCCCAAAAGTAAAAGAGTCGGAGATTCAAAGCAAGAAAGGATGTGACACATCACTGCAGGTTTGAAGATGGAGGGCATTGAGACTAGAACCCGGCTGCAGCCAGCAAGGAAATGGGGACTGACCTCAGTCCTACGACCATAAGGAACTCGATTCTGCCAAAAACCTGAGCCTGGAAGCAGATTCTTCACCAGAGCCTCAAGAGCCCAGTACAGCTGCACCTTGATTTTGGACTTGTGAGACCCTAAGTAGAGAACCCAGTCAGGCCAGCCCAGACTTCCAGCCTACAGAACTGTGCATTAATCAATAGGAACTGATTAAGCCACTAAGCCTGTGATGATGTGTTATGCTGTAACAGAAACCAATATAAGCCCCACCTGGCCTCTAGTCATAATGTATAGACATTAAAAACACACCAGGTAATTATCCAAAAGGAGCAGAAGACAACTCACGCTTTCTGCATTTTCAATTCCTGGACATGTGATGCTAGAGAGCAGAGACTGATGTATTTCTTTTTTCTTTTTTTTTTTTTTTCTGAGACAGTGTCTCTCTCTGTCACCCAGGTTGGAGTGCAGTGGTGTGATCTCGGCTCACTGCCAGCTCCGCCTCCCGGGTTCACACCATTCTCCTGCCTCAGCCTCCTGAGTAGCTGGAACTACAGGCGCCCACCACGACGTCCGGCTAATGTTTTGTATTTTTAGTAGAGACGAGGTTTCACAATGTTAGCCAGGATGGTCTCGATCTCCTGACCTCGTGATCTGCCTGCCTCAGCCTCCCAAAGTGCTGGGATTACAGGCATGAGCCACCACGCCCGGCCAACTGATGTATTCCTATATCCTGGTCCTTAGCAGAGTGGGTAGTATAGAGCAGGTTCTCAATTTCATTTAACAAAGTTTCAACCTTCTGGGCAGTCAGAACTACATTGCTTACAGCTTTGGAGCTGCCCTGGCAGCCAGGTACAATTATCTGAGCAAAACCCAGCAAAGTCCTTTTTTTTTTTTTCCACCTAGAGGAAACTCCAGGCACAGGAAGTGGTTCAGACAAAGCCACCCAGCAACCAGGGTAGGTGTGTGTCCACATGCAAACGTGTCTTGCTTTGTACAACACAGCAAAGGACCATGTGCAGTGGCCCCTGCCTCAGCCCGCAGCAGCCTCCCACGGCTTAGCTAACCAGCCAAACCCTGGCATTTTGCTTGTAATTGTACCTCCCAGTAAAAAGTCCTGGTTGGAGTGGTAAAAATAGCAACTGCAACTTCCTGCAACACAGATATACCAGTTGATGCCTGAAAAGAAACCTGGTGATTCGACCTCACTCCAACTCAGCGAAATGCCTTCAAGCTGCGCTCACAATGGCAGTGGGACAGGAGCCCAGCAAAGGCAGCCGACCCACCCCCCCGCCCCAGGAGGACCCATGCAAAACCAGCTCTAGAGTGAGATGCTTCCCTTACTCTCTTAATGAAACACCCAACTCTCAGAATCAGGAGGTGTCTAATAAACGCAAAAACTGCTTTCAGCGAGGCCCCTCCCCTTTCCCTTCTCCTGCTCACTAGCTGCAGAGGTATAAAGGCAGAAGCCCTCCCTACCAAAGCCCTTTGAGGGTCCCATTGTCCCCTTGGTTACCCTCTCCCTTCCCCCTACCTACATCTGTCCCTGAGATTGTTCCAAGTAGGTCAGGCTGGCTGGGATCACAGGAGCCTCCTCTGAAGCTTGGTTCTGAGTCATCTCCAGGGCAGCAGGGGAGTCATGGCCAAACCTGGATGTTGCTTCCTGAAGGGTGGGGAGAGCCTGGCCAAAACGTCCCCAGGTACCCAGCAGTAATGAATTCCTCTGGGGCCCAGGCCATGGTCAGCAGTTCCCTGGCTCCTCTATCATGGGGCCCGATGCCTCCTGGGACCACACAGGCAAGTAAACAGGGTTTAGTCTGTGGTGGCCACTGCCCCTTTCTGGGCCTTTCTCTGGACCAGCTACGGAACTCTCTCTGTCCTCCTGGCTCATTTCTTTATTCCTGCAGACAGGTGACAGATCATTGACTAAGCCAGCCCTCTGAGAAGAGCTCTCAAGCCCAGCCAGATGGCTCTCAGCCAGGTAAGGCCCCGTGCATCTCTGGGACAATAGGCAGACACCTCCCACCTAAGGCCAGCTCCACTGCACAAGGGCAAAGTCACCCCAGCTCCTCCCCTGGATATGCTGGCTGTTTAGAAACACCTGAATTCACTCAAATGTTCCAGATATTTCCATTTCGCTAGTAAAAACCATGCCTCTTCATGTTTGCAGAGCTTTTCAGCATAAAATGAACTTTCAGGAATGTTTTCCCATGCAAAAAATACAGCAGCCTAGTGGGGGGCAGGGGCGGGCAGGGATTAAAGGGCTTCATTTCACAGATGAGTACCCAGCTGAGGTCAGGAGACCAATAAGAGGCAGAACCAGCACTCAATAAACTTTGATCTTCTGGAAAGACAAAAGTGGACTAGAATCAAAGGACAAAGCCTGAATAAACATTTTTTTTAATGGAACAATGAGATTCCACCCGCCCCCCCACCCCATCACATTAGCTAAAACTAAAAATGTGGATAACATCAAAAATTTGGGGGCTGGGCGCAGTGGCTCACGCCTGTAATCCCAGAACTTTGGGAGGCCGAGGCAGGTGGATCACCTGAGGTCAGGAGTTTGAGACCAGCCTGGCCAACATGGAGAAACCCAGTCTCTACTAAAAATACAAAATTAGCTGGGCGTGGTGGCGCTTGCCTGTAATCCCAGCTACTTGGGAGGCTGAGGCAGGAGAATCGCTTGAACCTGGGAGGCAGAGGTTGCTGTAACCTGAGATCATGCCATTGCACTCCAGCCTGGGTGACAAGAGCGAAACTCAGTCTCAAAAAAAAATTAGGTGAGTCTGTAGAGAAATGGGCATTCAGGCACTATTATTAGTGAAAGAGTAAACTGGGTAAATCTTTGCAAAGGGCATTTGGCTTTGACAATGAAAATTTAAAATAATCACACTTGCTCAGAAAGATGCATGATGAAGGACACACAAGATTTCATTGATCATACAGGGAAAATGAGGCATTACCTAAAGTCTCTCCTTAGGACACAATGAGAGGAAATGATGGTTTGGCTGCAGTGTGGAATATGACGACGCTGTGAAAAAGAGCTCCACCACACACTAAGTGGTATAAGTTGTAGAGTATTGAGTATGATTCAAATTATGTAAACACAAAATCTGCACATACAACGGAGGACTAGAAGGGTATGCACCCATCTGTGGACAGATACAAAGGAGGGGATGGACCCTCACACTGTGCTCCATCTTTTCCTATATTTTTCATTTATAAAGGAAATCCTAGCTGGGCGTGGTGGCTTGCGCCTGTAATCCCAGCTACTTGGGAGGCTGAGGCAGGAGAATTGCTTGAACCCGGGAAGCGGAGGTGAGCTGAGATCGCGCCACCGCACTGCGGCCTGGGCAATGAGAGGGAAACTAGATCTCAAAAAAAAAAAAAAAAAAAAAAGGAAATCCATTGATATATTATTTAAATCAGAGAAAAACAATAAAATGAAAGAGAACAATGTTATCCTCAGTCTCTCCCTGCACCAGAAGACTGCAGAATGTCAGGGTCTGGCACCTCTCTGTGCCTCATGATGTCTCTGTCCGCAGCCCACGCAGGCCCAGCCTTTGCACGAGCTGTGCTACCCACCTGGCAGGCCTTTCTCTGATCCTCCCACGGCTGGCTCAAATGTCACCACCCCAGAGAGGCCTTCCTTGACCCCTCTTCGGAGGGCATCCTCACTTGACCATCTTCCCACACCTCCCTGTCCACTTCCTCTGCAGCTGCATATTTTTGTCAGTCTGTTGTCTGCCTCCCTCAGCTGAATGTGGGATCAGGAGAGGGTCGGGGAGGACCTTGCCTTGTTCTCCACTGAATCCCAGAGCCCGGCAGAGAACAGATGGGGGAAAAAAATTCCCTGGACACATTTGAAATGAGGAAACCAACAGTCCACTTCCTCACCTCATCAATGAGGAAACTGAGGCAGATTCTCAACATGCCCACTATTGAGACCCTAGCGCTGTGCCATACCCGCCTGTCTGCCTCCCACATCAGACGCTGAGCTCCCAAGCAGGAGCTCTTTGAACCTGACTTTCTTTCCTCAGCTTCTAGTCCACGGCGAGCCATTCAGAAAACTAAATAAATGTTTGTTGCATGAACAAAGCTGGGTACCTTTCTCCCTCAGATTTCCAAGCCTGTGAACAACAAAAGCGTTCACAGGTTAAGGGACTTGCTGCCAAGGTCTCACAAGCCCAGCTGGCTAGGGTGCAGAACATGAACTCCGGACAATGGATGGAATCGCCATGGTTTTCTAGAAAAAGAGCTCCTCCATCTCTTGGCCCTCACTCCTCTCAGACAAATTGGCCTGGCCAACAGCAAACCTGGCTGGCAGCTTGTCCTGGAGTTTGAATGAGCACAGCTTCTCCTTATCTTAATTAGGAAATTAATTCTGCTCAGCCTAGATGGATCTGTGGTCAGCCTCTCCTTGGGGGCCCAATGGGAACAGGCAAAAAATGTAAGCAAGGCTTTTTTGTCTCCATCCTTTCCCTGCATCCTACTCCTCACCACTCGGCTGATGGTGGAAGGCTCCTCCTGGCAGAGATGGGTGGGGAGTGACACCTAAGGTGAATGTGGCCCTTGAGCTGGTGGCAGCAGGCACAGCGCTCCCATGGCCTGCTCAGCCCTGCTTCCCCGTGGGAGGAGCCATCCAACTGGTCTTGCAGGCTGGTGCTCAGTCGCCTCCTCCTGCCCTGCTGGGCTCCCTTGAGATCCCTTTTTTTTTTTTTGACAGAATTTTACTCTGTTGCCCAGGCTGCAGTGCCATGGCGCGATCTCGGCTTACTGCAACTTCTGCCTCCGGGGTTCAAGCGATTCTCCTGTCTCAGCCTCCCAAGTAGCTGGAATTATAGGCGCCTGCCACCATGTCCAGCTAATCTGCTGAAGATCTCCCTTGCTCCTCAAAGCTCGTTGTCCAACTCTCTGCTGGGAGGTGGCCCTGGCTCTGTGCCCAAGGGACATCCCACCAGGGAAGTCTCACCCTAGTCATTCCAGAGGGGGTCATCCTGGTGCTCCCACGAACTGCTGCCCAGCTCCCTGCCCACGACCAGTCAGAGCGATGGCCCTGAGAAATGAGTAACCCACACACCACCTTCCCTTGAGCCCACGCCTGCTCCCCTAAGCCCAGCCTGGTGCTCCCCTGATGCAGTCTTCTGTCTCCACCAGCCCCTTCGCAGGAGGCCTCAAACTCTGAGGCAGTGGGCAGGGACAGGGAACTGCCAGAGGCTCAAGGAGAACAGCCCCGTCCCTTTGGAGTTACTGGGAAAATCTGAATCGAGTCTTCAGGAAACTAGGAGCTTGCCTACGTCACCCCTCTCACTCTACAGGTGAAAAAACTAGATCCCAGAGAAAGTAACTTGCCCAATTCCCACAGCACACATCCAAGGCAGAGCTGGAACTAGAACCCCATTCCTGACTTCTTTTGTTGTTGTTGTTGAGACGGAGTTTCGCTCTTGTCACCCAGGCTGGAGTGCAATGGTGCAATCTCGGCTCGCTGCAACCTCCGCCTCCCAGTTCAAGTGATTCTCCTGCCTCAGCCTCCCAAGTAGCTGGGATTACAGGCATGAGCCACCACACCCAGCTAATTTCGTATTTTTAGTAAACAAGCGGTTTCTCCATGTTGGTCAGGCTGGTCTCAAACTCCCGACCTCAGGTGATCCGCCCACCTCGGCCTCCCAAAGCACTGGGATTACAGGGGTGAGCCACCTCGCCCGGTCCATTCCTGACTTCTAAATTGGCCCCTCTGTACTCTACTGGCTGTTCAAGCTCTTCCTGACCAGAAAGGCTAAGCAAGTAACTCGAGCCTTATAAAACTGCTGAACACCAGAGCTTGCAAGAACTTTTGAAATTTTATAGCAAAACATTTAATAGAAGTATTATACAGGAGAGCAAATTGAGGCTCACAGGGGTAAGGGAACCTGCATGTAGTCACACAGGCAAGCTGGGGCCAAGCACGACTCCCCTACTCTGACTCAAGTGCTCTTTCTGCCAACAGGTTCCAGGTCTGAGGGCTCTAGCTATGGGATGGTGAAGAGACGGAGTTGGCCTCGGGCCTTGGTCACGCTGAAACAAGAAGTGGCCCAGGTGAGCCTCATACAGACTCTGTACCCAACTCAGGGAACAGGAGACCACTGTGGGAGAAAAGTATGACCAGGAAGATTTTTATGTATTTGCAGAAAATATGGTGCAATTTCTCAATGAAATTGATTTCTGAGACCACAGAGCTGCCATTTAAAAAAAAAAAAAAAAGGCCAGGTGCGGTGGCTCACACCTGTAATCCCAGCACTTTGGGATGCCAAGGCAGGTGGATCACGAGGTCAGGAGTTCAAGACCAGCCTGGCCAACATGGTGAAACCCTGTCTCTACTAAAAATACAAAAAGCCGAGCATGGTGGCGGGTGCCTGTAATCCCAGCTACTGGGGAAGCTGAGGCAGACAACTGGTTGACTTGAGAGGTGGAGATTGCAGTGAGCTGAGATCACACCACTGCACTCCAGCCTGGGCTACAAGGTAAGACTCAGTCTCAAAAAAAAAAAAAGAAAAATGCCAGGCACAGTGGCTCATGCCTGTAATCCCAGCACTTTAGGAGGCTGAGGCGGGTGGATCACCTGAGATCAGGAGTTCAAGACCAGCCTGGACAACATGGAGAAACCCCGTCTCTACAAAAATACAAAAATTAGCCAGGCATGGTGGTGTGTGCCTGTAATCCCAGCTACTCAGGAGGCTGAGGCGGGAGAATCACTTGAATCCAGGAGGCAGAAGTTGCAGTGAACCAAGATGGCGCCATTGCACTCCAGCCTGGGCGACAGAGCGAGACTCCTTCTCAAAAGAAAAAAAGGTTAATAAGCCACACACATCTATCGTTTATCATCCAACAGGGTGCTGGGACAGGGCTTGGAAGGAAAGCAGGAAAGGTTTAGCAGTAAGAAAGAGTGGCAAGAGAGGTAGGGGGCGGGGGTGAGGTGACTGGGGACTCAGGGGAGGGCTGCAAGTCAGCTGCAGAGCAACAAGCACCCAACCTCAATTCTGCACCCAGGGAACAAAAACAAAAAAGGGAAAGGGGAGCCCGGCATGACTGACACCCACTTGGTGCCAGACCCCATTCTAGGGGATTCTGCATAGTATGGTGGTTAACCTTCACCATACCCCTGAAAAAAGCTAACAAAGCTCAATGAGGTTAAGGAACTTGATCACAGACCCACAGCATTTGAACCCCAGTCTGGTGCCAAAGCCCATGCTCTTTCCACTGCTCCTGGGTTAAAAGGACTTAACAGGGAGCCCTTCCTATCCCCAAACCCCTTCGCTTCCCCACCTAATCCCACAGCACCCCTTCCCCAGTTTCTAACAGCCCCAGAAGGACCTGGAGGCAGTATGGGATGATTATGCCTTGAAGATGACAGGTGTCAGCTTTTGACAGCTTTAGGTTGGTATGGCAATGAGGTGGTCAAGGAAAGGGGTTGGAACCTACTGTAGGGGCTGGGCTGACTTCCATCAGCTGGGGATAGCTGCTGATTGATAAGTCCTGTTGGGATGCTGTGACTGAAAGCTGTGGATGCTTAAGTTCTCCCTCCTCCCTCCTCCCCTGCACCTCCCTCCTCTACCCCCAGCTTGTTCCAACTAAGTGTTTCCTGGTGAGGAAAATGCTTCAACAGCCTTGGCTGGCTGAGGCAATTAAATTATGAAATTTACCACATTAGATGAAAACCAGCATCTCAATCAACCAATTCATTTGTGTCTGGCCACTCTGTTTTCTTGTGCCAGCTCTGCCCACACTGGCCAGGCTATGCCTACACTGCCTGGTGGTACAGAGGGACTAGGGGCTCAGACAATGGGCTGGTCTTTGGGACCAGGGGGTAGGTTCTCCCAGGACCCCCAGAGAAGAGAGGCTGCATCCAGAAGCCATCCAGCTTCCTACAAATGCGCTGGACTGCTGACTGTGCGGCCAGACACTACGGACGAGAGCAAACCTTCTACCACCTCCCACTTGCATTCTCCATGGCCTCAACCTGTGCCTATCTTGAGGCTGGCAATGAATTGGGCCTCTGGGAGAAGTGTGGGTGAGCGACAGGACAAAGGTGGCTGCCCTACACCTCGAATCTGGGCGATGACATGCCTTTCTCATCTTAGTCAAGGCATCCTCTCCCCAGGAAGCCTTGCCCACCTGTGTCTCCTTCTCTCCTCTTGCTGCCTCTATCACTACGATGTGTCAGGGCCCCTAATCCATGTGCCAGCACTCCCTCATCTAGGTGCTCACTAAAGGAAGAGTCTCCAGCACCTAACTCAGGGCCTGGCACACAGCAGGTGCCCAATCAAGTCTGTTCAAACAATGAATCAATCAATCAATCAGTCACAAACCACCCACTAAATAACACTCTCACTCATCCTACCCTTCCCCCCGCCCCCGCCCAAGTGATAGACGGGACGAACCAAGCTTGCTTTCACTGGGTAATTGTTCTCTTTTCTTCCTGCTCTCTTCTGCCCACACGGGGTGCCCGCAGATTTAAAACGCTATTAAGGGGCATCGGGCTGCAGAACCTGCTTCCGATGTGGAGCATGCAATTTGCCTATAGCTCTTCTCTCCGCACCACATACATAAATCCAACTGCAGCCCAAGACCCCAGGATGAAGGTGTCTTCCATTTCTACCTCCCTTTTATCAACCACCCTGGAGTCACTGCCTGACAAATGACTCAAAACTGAAATAGCTGCCAGGCCGGAAAAAGACTGACTACGTCAACCTTCACAGGCACAGCTTGTGGACCCAAGAGCCTCCGGTCTTGGGACACCAAATGGACCCTGAGGTGGGGTAGACTTTGTGTCCTACTCTTCCCCAGACCCCCACGCAAGCCTTCACCAACATGCCAGGAATCCTCACAGCTCAGATCAGCACACTGAGCATCAGTTCCTCCTATGAATGGGGAGACTGGGACCCAGGGTCCCAGAGGGCTTGGCCCCATAACGGTCACTGGAATCTGGTCCAGGATACAGACCGTGGAATCCTGCCTCCTCTCCTGGTGCTACTGCTAACTTCCTTCCCTTCCTCTCTCTATTGGGCCGATAGAGTGGAACCAAATGGTCCAGACACCTGGCATTCTCTGCCCTGACTACCGAGGAGAGTCAAAGTCCAGCCCGCCTTCCCCAAGGTCAAATTCACCGGGATCCAGCAGGACCCAAGAGCGTCCAGATTAAATCTGCAGGGGCCTGGGTCCGCCCCCTCACCCACAGTTCGTTGGGTCAGGCCTCTAGAGAGATGTTTCTTTGTTCAAAGACAATGGGAATGCACTTTGGGGGCTTAGAGCAGCAACACAAAAAAAGTATCTGGTATCTCCCGGGCACAATCCCCCAAGAGAAAAGCTTCTAAAGCAACTACGAAAGAGACAGGGGGAGTGGGGGCGTAACATCGCGCGGTGTGTCTCGGAGCCAGGGCAAGTGTGGTAATTAGAGTCAGGCTAGAGGGCTTGCTCTGGACCTGCCAGTCTGGCCGCCACCCAGGTGGACAGGTGGGTGTGCCTTTGAGTGCGACCTTTCTCTGCCGCTGGACAGTTCTGCAAACCGAAACGAGGGACCCTGGCAGGCGGAACGTGAACGGCTCGGGGCTCCGCGGCCAGGCCCGCGCAAACCCTCCCCTTGTGAACCCCGGGCCCTCGCTCTGCGCCAGGCAGGCAGCCATCCGGCCTGGGCGTCCAAGGCGCGGGGCATCGCCGCTCGCGTCCTCAAAGACAAGCAGTCTCTCTTTCCAGGATCAATAGTAATTTTTTAAAAAAAAGAGTCTGCGGACTCAATGAATCAACCACTCCCTGGGGAAAGAGTAGCGGCTCCCGCGCGCAACATCCATTTGCCAAACAATTCATTCCCTCGCGCAGAGCTCTCGGCGAATTCCCTCGCGGAGCCGCGGGGTGCCGGCCGGCCGCCGCTCCCCACCATTGTCCCAGGGCCCCGGCCCCAGCCGCGGGGCCCCCTCCCGGGACACGTAGTCCCGCGGGGGCTCCGAGCGCTTGGTCCCGGCCCGGCCCGGGGTGGTGAGTCCCCAGCGCAGGGAGCGGGGGCGCGGGTGCTGCGGCCAGAGCACGGCGTCCCCGCCCGGCCTGGATACTCACTGCCGGAGACGATCCCCGCCGCCGCCGCCGCCTCAGAGACCACTCCCGGCAGCCCGCGCGAGCTCAACAGGCTCCGCCGCGGCTCCCGTCGGCCGGCTCTCCACAGGCAAAAACGCTCTCGCTGCGATACAGCCTAGGCGCCGCCAACAAACTAGTTTCTCCGGCCTTCCCGCCCCGCCTCCCGGCCCGAAGAGCAGCAGCCAATCAGAGGCATCGCCTCTGTGACGGATGGGCAGCCGAACCCTTCAGTGCAGCCGCAGAAAAGAAGGGGGTGGGCCCCAGGCCGCGCCGGCACCGGGGGGTGGGGGGCCGGGGGCGGGGAGGGGGGGGGACCGGGGGCGGGGCGGGGCGAGGAAAAGGACTTCGACCAGATTCTTAAAGAGACAGGCGCCTGCCCAACCCCGCCGCCCAAGTTTGGGAACAAAACGCGACGGTGTTCTAGAGCTTTCCAGAGGGAGCACTGTAGATTGCATATGCCTCTTTTGTGTTCGGGTCACAAGTGTTGTAGATCTCTTTAGACTCTTCAGAGCCACACTAGTAGTTGCCCGAGTGTTAATGAAACCCTGTCTTTCACTCTGGGCTTGTTTGAATGTTTGGGACTTTCTGCAGCCTCCAAACCCCACCTGTACTTGAAATCTGTATTTTTTGGAGTATTTCAGCTCTCCTCTCTGTGTCATTTCTCACTAAACTCCTTTCGTAAGCCAGCCTTTAAATGTTCGTTCATTCATTCATTCATCCATCCATCCAATAATTTCTTCCAGGAACGTTTCCTGGACGCCCACACCATGCACTCATCTTGGAGGGGGAGAACGGTTTGTGATTCTTCGTCCTTTTCCCTCCTGACTACTACTTCAGCTTACTGTGTGTGTCCAATCTCATCCGTAAAGCGGCAGATAAAAACTCCTCATCGGATTATTTGGGGGATTAAAGGAGACAAATTCCCAGACAAATGAGTGCGCAATAAATGTCCTCTCTTTTCTCCCTCCCAATGAAAATCGATAATTCAAGTAGGTTGCTTAAGGATACAAAAGGTAAAGCATAGAAAGTGATAAGAACGAAAGAGCCAAGCCTGGGGCGGGGAAATTCCCAGGAAGCAGAGGTCACCCTGACGGAGGTGGAGGTGGGAGGTGCAAGGAAGGTCTAAGAAAGTGTACAAAGATTTGGGAGAGGGGATAGGATTGTGACTAGTGGAACCTGGGAAATAGAGCCCCTGGGTAGAAAGCTGCTTAGACAGGACAGATATGCCAGGGTTAAAAGACTGGGAGATGATGAGAAGATACCACCAGGGAAGGCATTTTTGGGAAACAGCTTGATGTTCTGGGTTTGAAGCCCCGCCCTGCCCCTCAAGAGCTGGGTAGGACTGAAGCAGATGGCTCAGACTCTCTGGTGTCTGGTTCTTACTGGTGAAGAGGATTCTAAAACCTTTCTTGCAGGGGTATGGGAAAGATTAAGATAACATATGGAATAGGCCTGGCATGTAGTAAGTGCTCAGTACAGATTTGTGCTTCCATTTGGCCCAGATCTGCAGACATCTAAGGCACCAGGGTTCTGATATTTATGAACAATATTGGCCAGAGGTAAGAAGCTTGCCAAGTGCACTGTTAAGGTGCCTTCTGAAGAGAAAAGGTAGTGAGAGGTGAAGCCAGCTGGACTTTCTGGGTCCAGTGGGGACTTGGAGAACTTTTCTGTCTTACAAGAGGATTGTAAAATGCACCAATCAGCGCTCTGTATCTAGCTAGAGGTTTGTAAAATGTACCAATTAGTGCTCTGTAGAAATGCACCAATCAGCACTCTGTGGCTAGCTAGAGGTTTGTAAAACGGACCAATCAGCACTCTGTAAAATGGACCAATCAGCAGCACATGGGCCTGGACAAATAAGCTAATAAAAGCTGGCCGCCCCCCAGCCAGGAGCAGCAACCCACTTGGGTCCCCTTTGGCGCTGTGGGGGCTTTGTTCTTTCGCTCTCCACGGTAAATTTTTCTGCTGCTCACTCTTTGGGTTCACGCCACCTCTAAGAGCTGTAACACTCACCGTGAAGGTCCGCAGCTTCATTCCTGAAGTCAGCGAGACCACCAACCCACCGGAAGGAACCAGCTCCAACACATTAGCATCAAAGTAATTACTTCATTAAGGAAATGACAGAGATCACATTTGTAGTTTTATCCTGCCGATTTTCTAGCACTAGAGTGTTTATAGAATTGTTGGTTGAATGAAGCTCCACATGCAAAATTGATTCTTGGCAAGTTTATAACTGTTGCTTATTATTTTATGCAGGTTCGCTGTAAAATTATAAGTGCCAACCGCCCAGTAAAATCTGGTCCACATTATAATTTTTTCTCTCTTCAACTCCAAGGCTTAAATTAGGTACTAGAATATATTAAAATCAAATACAGTGTAAGCAATGGGACAAAATCAGACTAAGAACACGTGTGGAGTTAATCGAATTTAGGTACGATTTGAAAGAAGATGAGAGGAAGAGCGGAAGTTTGCCTTGCCATCTATTGCGGACCCTGGAGCATTACCGTCAACGCAGCCCTTACCAGCCAGTGTTGTAATGGCCTGCTTAGCTAGTCCACCTGCTGTGCAGGGAGCTCTGGGAGGGCAGGGACCATGAATTCATCTCAGAACTCTTAGGGCTGCATCAAAGTTGTCTACACAGTTTTGAAATACTGTGAATAAATCTCATATCCGTTAGAATTAGTTTTTACTGCATATGACAGAAAACCCAAAATTAACTGTGACTGAAACAAGATAGAAGTTTCTTGCTTATGCAAAATAAAGCTAAAGTTAAGCTATCCTTTGTTGGCAACTCCACAGTTGTCAGAAACACGGGCTACTGTATTTTTATTCCTTCATCTGTAATGCTTGGTTCCCATTTGCAAGGTTGCCCCATAGTCCAAGATGGCTGCTAGGGCTCCAACTCTGACACCTATATCCCAGACAGTAGGAAGGAATAATGGCGGAAGAGCATGAGATGTGTGTCTTCCAGCCTGGTTAGCTCTATTTATGCAGACTGCAGAAGTCCCACACAACACTTTTGTTTATGGACAGAATTTAGTTTTCCTACCTGCAAGAGCAGCTGGGAAATGTAGACTTTTATGTTAGTACATCACCTCCTCAAAGTCAGGGTTCTGTTAACAAGGAAGAGGGAATAGATGCCTGTTGTCCACCAACAATCCTTACCAATACCTTCCTCCCAGCATTGCCATCTAGCTAGTATTCCTGGTGGCCCAGAATCTGAAGTCTCAGAAATTCTGGGATGATGTATAGAATTCAATATATGTTCGTTAATAGATGATCAAATTCTTGGTTCTTTTTTTTTTTTAAAGATGGGGTTTCACTCTTGTTGCCCGGGCTGGAGTGCAATGGCGCAATCTCAGCTCACCACAACCTCTGCCTCCCGAGTTCAAGCGATTCTCCTGCCTCAGCCTCCCGAGTAGCTGCGATCACCAGGCATGCACCATCACGCCTGGCTAATTCTGTATTTTTAGTAGAGACGGGGTTTCTCCATGTTGGTCAGGCTGGTCTCAAACTCCCGACTTCAGGTGATCTGCCCACCTTGGCCTCCCAAAGTGCTGGGATTGCAGGCGTGAGCCACCGCGCCTGGCCTCTTGGTTTCCTTTCTACCTTCTCAGGTGTTCTTTTTAGTCTCCTCTGCTGATTCCCCCTCACTTCTCAGACCTACAAATATTGGAGCGCCCGGGAAGCGAGCGTAGGGAGCATAGGGAGATAAGAAGACCTATTCCCTTCCCTACCTACACCTTCTAAGTGATTTCATCCAAGCCCATGCCTTACGTTCATATAAGCACTGGCAACTGCCAACTCTGTGCTCCCACCCCGCCTTCTCCATAAGCTCCAAGCCCATGGGTGCAGCTGCTTACTGGGTATCTCCATGTGCATGTCTAGGGCACCTTACCCTCAAACTGTCTCCGCTGAGCTCCTATGGCTGCTCTCCCTGTGGGCTTCCCCATCTCAGGAAAGGACAACGCAGTCTTTCCTTTTGTAAGATAAAACTTGGCATCATTCTCTCCTACCCCATGTCCAATCCATCAGGAAATCCCTGTTGAGTCTGAGTACTTACTACTTCCACTGCCACCCCCAGGCTGGTCTAGAGACACTGTCATTTTCTCTCCTCTGTGACATTATGGCAGCCTCCAGGCCATCTCCCTCTTCCACACTGCTCCCATAGAATCTGTTCTCAACACAGCAGCCAGAGGGATCTTTTTATAAGATAATTTCGTTATGTCTGTCTACCCCTCGAAATCCACCAGTAGCTCCCACCTCACTCAGAGTGAAGGCCAGAGTCCTACCATCGGCCCACAAGCCTGCCCTGGTCTGGCCTGGGCCACTCTCACACCTCAACTCCCACCTCCCTGTTCCTGACCCTGACATGCTCTGCTCCAGACCCACTGATCCCTTTTCAAGGCCTCAAACAGGCCAAGCCCACTCCCACTCAGGGCCTTGCCCTTGTTGCTCTATAGGATTGCGCTCCCTCAGAGGGCCACATGCTTCCCTTCCCCGCTTCCTTCTGGTTTCTGCTCACATGTCACCTTGCCACCTAGGCCCTCCTGACCACCCTGAGCAGCCACATTCCCCACTCCTGGCAGGCCCTCACCCTAGTCCATATCTCCAAGGCACTTACTTCCACCTGAAAGTATATACACATACACACAGAGACAGAGAGAGAGAGAGAGAGAGAGAGAGGCAACCCCTGGCAGGGAGGAGCTGGCCTGCATGCATAGCTAGGCCTTGGTACTCTCATGTTGAACATAAACAATGTCCCAGACCATCAGCATCAGAAAAGAGCACTCTGGCCAGGTGCGGTGGCTCACACCTGTAATCCCAGCACTTTGGGAGGCTGAGGCGGGTGGATCACGAGGTCAGGAGTTCAAGACCAGCCTGGCCAACATGGCGAAACCCTGTCTCCACTAAAAATACAAAAATTAGCCAGGCATGGTGGCGGGCACCTGTAATCCCATCTACTCAGGAGGCTGAGGCAAGAGAATCACTTGAACCCGGGAGGCAGAAGTTGCATTGAGCCTAGACTGCGCCATTGCACTCCAGCCTGAATGACAAGAGCAAGACTCCATCTAAAAAAAAAAAAAAGAAAAGAGCACTCTGTGACCATGAGTGGTCAAGACAAACGAGCCCACTCCATCATCATGTCTGAACACAGACAAAGCACCAACATTGTCCAAGCCCCAAAGTGTCAAACATCCTCCTCTCCTGGCTGCTATGAATGACTGCTGCCTCTCAGTGAATTGTAGCTTTAGCCTCACTCTAGTCTGCTGTCCTTTTGGATAAGATACCCTGTCCCAGACTTATCCCTGCTTTCTGAGGGTAGCTGATGCAGAGCAAATCCCTACTTCCTTGGGTCCTCTCCAAAGCCACCCAACCAAAGCCCAAATCCTATTACAGGTTCTTCTTAACATGCTTGAACTGAGATGCCCCATGGTTACCCTATCATGTGTGGTCTCCCTCGCAACAATAAGCTCAAGTTGTTCAACTACAGGTGTTTCTGATGGAGGGCATTGACAATAAGGTACACAGATATAAATTTTATTTGGGGGGAGTGGGATTTGATTGGCTGTCTCCTCTTCCAAAATGTAAGTCCCATGAGAGCAGTGCCTCATCTCCAGACCTGGAAGCTCTCCATATTTATCCAGTGAATTCAGAATGAACTCAATGTAGCTTCAGAGGTAGTGTCCACCACCACAAAATTAGGAGATTCTGATCTTGGTGTTGGATCTATTCAATCAAGTTTTCAATTTTTAATCTAGCATCCCCAAAGATGGAACCCACTCAGGGCAAGGCAGTGGCAAAAAGTGGCTTTGTCAGCTTCAGTTCCCAAGGGAGGAGCCAGGTGTCAGTGGTTGCCTTCCTGGGAGAGCAGCCAGGATTAAGGTCACTGGTGAGTCACTGCTGGCCCTGGGCACACAAAGGAGCAGGAGGGCTGGGTCTGGCAGGGACAGCAGCTGCAGGAGGTGGGAAGGTGTCGTGTTTTCACCTGGTGGCAGTGAGGCGACTGCCTGAGATAGAAACCATCTTAAGGGAGGAGACCACCCCTCATATTGTCTTATGCCCAATTTCTGCCTCCAAAGAAAGAAGAAGTGAAAACTAAAAGGCAGAAATGAAATCCACAGGCAGACAGCCTGGTGCTGCGCCCTGGGCCCGGTAGTTAAAGATCGACCCCGGACCTAACCAGTTATGTTATCTATAGATTCAAGACATTGTATGGAAAAGCATTGTGAAAATCCTTGTCCTGTTCTGTTCTGTTCTGATTACTGGTGCATGCAGCCCCCAGTCATGTACCCCCTGCTTGCTCAATCGATGACGACTCTGTCACGCAGACCACCTTAGAGCTGTAAGCCCTTAAAAGGGACAGGAATTGCTCACTTGGGGAGCTCGGCTTTTGAGACGCAAGTCTGCCGAAGTTCCTGGCTGAATAAAGCTCCTTCCTTCTTTAACCCGGTGTCTGAGGAGTTTTGTTTGCGGCTTATCCTGCTACAATCTGACTCTCACTGCTTCTTCCATGTTTTTTTTTTTTTTTTTTTTGAGACAGTGTCTCACTCTGTTGCCCAGGCTAGAGTGCAGTGGTGCGATCTCAGCTCACTGCAACCTCCGCCTGCCGGGTTCCAGCAATTCTCCTGCCTCAGCCTCCCGAGTAGCTAGGATTACAGGCGCCTGCCACCACACCCGGCTAATTTTTGTATTTTTAGTAAAGACAGGGTTTCACCATGTTGGCCAGGCTGGTCTCAAACTCCTGGCCTCAAGTGATCTGCCCACCTTAGCCTCCCAAAGTGCTGGGATTACAGGCGTAAGCCACTGCACCCGGCCTACTCCTTCTATCTAAAGAAGCTGCAGCCACTCATCAGTCTTCATGAAGCCCCTTTCTCTAATTTTTTTCCTCCCACACCTCTGGCAATGCCATCATGAAGACCTTTGTCTGACATAGAAAGCATGCTTGTAACCGCCCAATGTGTTCACCTTGCCTGCTGCCTAGACAGAGCCAATTTATCAAGACAGGGGAATTGCAATGGAAAAAGAGAAATTCATGCAGAGCCGGCTGTGCAGGAGACCGGAGTTTTATTATTACTCAAATCAGTTTCCTTGAAAACTCAGGGATTAGAGTTTTTAAGGATAATTTGGTGGGTAGGGGGCCAGTGAATTGGGAGTGCCAATTGGTTGTCTCGGGGATAAAATCACAGGGAGTCCAAGCAGTTCTCTTCTGCTGAGTCAGTTCCTGATTGGGGGCCGCAGAACTGGTTGGCAGATCCAGGTGGGGCCATCCAGTTGTTAGAAATGCAAAAGCCTGAAAAGACATCTCAAAAAGCCAATCTTAGGTTCATAAGAGTGATGTCACCTTCAAGAGTAATTGAGGAAGTTGAAATCTTATGACCTCTGGAATGATGGTTGGTAATATTTAGAATTCCAGCCCCTCTCATCTTGACTTGGTGGTGGCCTTTCATTTGTTTTACAAGAGTTTAGCCTTTTGGGAAGGGCCATTACTTAAACCATACACTAAATTCCTTCCGAAAGCTAGTTTGACCTATGCCCAGGAATGAACAAGGACAGTTTACAGGTTAGAAGCAAGATGGGGTCAGTTAGGTCTGATCTCTTTCATTATTGTAATTTTCTTTCTTTATTTTTCTGAGACAGAATCTCACTCTGTCATCCAGGCTGGGGTGCAATGGCAAGATCTTGGCTCACTGCAACTTCTGCCTCCTGGGTTCAAGTGATTCTTGTGCCTTAGCCTCCCAAGTAGCTGAGATTACAGACATGTGCCACCATGCCTGGCTAATTTTTGTGTTTTTAGTAGAGACGGAGTTTCTCCATTTTGGCCAGGCTGGTCTTGAACTCTCGACCTCAGGTGATCCACCTGCCTTGGCCTCCCAAAGTGCTGGGATTACAGTCATGAACCACCATACCTGCCCGTCATAATTTTCTCAGTTATGATTTTTGCAAAGGTGGTTTCATGCTCATGCACTAGCGTGCTACAGTGGCATGGAAGAATGAAGGGTATGACTAGTCTGGTCTATGGGGCAGCAGGCATGTGCAGAAACACCAGGGGGAGCTTTAGGTGTCCAAGGCCTGGCCAGAGATGCCAGTGGCGGGGGAGCTACCAACAAGGCGGGAAGGGCCAGGTGCCGTGTCTCACGCCTGTAATGCCAGCACTTTGGGAGGCTGAGGCAGGCAGATCGCCTGAGGTCAGGAGTTCGAGACCAACCTGACCAACATGGTGAAACCTCATCTCTACTAAAAATACAAAAATTAGCCGGGCATGGTGGCACAAACCTGTAATCTCAGCTACTCAGGAGGCTGAGGCAGGAGAATCGCTTGAACCCAGGAGGCAGAGATTGCAGTAAGCCGAGAATATGCCACTGCACTCCAGCCTGGGTGACAGAGCAAGACTCTGTCTCAAAATAAATAAATAATAAATAAAACCAGAAGTGGGGGAAGGAGCTGCAGGGAGGAAGATAAGTGGTGTCAGAACAAATGCCACCATTTAGAAACACTGGCCCGGCCTGCCCTACTCTTTTTCTTCCCAGAAATGAGGAGGAAAAACACAACAGGGAACAATGGTTAACAAACAACGGTTGAAGATGCAAAACAGTTTGCATAGTGTGCTAACTTTTGACCCCCAAGTGGGAGAATTCAGAAAACACTCATGGAAATGCATGTGTGTGAATTAAGATTCCCTCGAGGACATTCAGAAAATAAGCCAGCAGCCCCCTGTAAGTGGGGAGGGGCAATATTGGGCAGAGGTGGACTCCACGGGACACCTTGTTAGTTAGTTTCATTTCTGAGCCATGGGAATCTATTGTTTATTCAAAAAATAATTCAAAGGCCAGGCATAGTGGCTCACACCTGTAATCCCCGCACTTTGGGAGGCTGAGGCGGGCGGATCATGAGGTCAGGAGATCGAGGCCATTCTCGCTAACATGGTGAAACCCTGTCTCTACTAAAAATACAAAAAATTAGCCAGCGTGGTGGTGGGCGCCTGTAGTCCCAGCTACTCTGGAGGCTGAGGCAGGAGAATCACTTGATCCCAGGAGGCAGAGGTTGCAGTGAGCCGAGATTGTGCCACTGCACTCCAGCCTGGGCAACAGAGCAAGACTCTGTCTCAAAAATAATAATAATAATAATAATAATAATAATAATTCAAAAACCAAGTTGGAAGCTCAAAAAATCAATTAAAATGATATCTTTCTATGTATGAATAAAAGGAAGGAGAAGGATAAAGGAGGCTTGTACTCTATCCATATGATCTGGAGTTTTAGAAAAATGTATTCAGGGTTTCTCTGTATAATCAAAAAATAATGTTCAGAAGGAAGGAACAAAGAAAGAGAGTGAGGGAGAGCAGGAAAGAGGAAAGAAATGGCATTTGGAGAAACCCAGAAAAACTTGAGTTTGCATCCTGGCTCTGCCACCTTGTGGGTGCCAGGGACAGCTGATTTTACCTCTCGAGGCCCCAATTTTCCCATCAGTAAAAGGGGAATAATAATAATTCCTACTTCATAAGGTTCTGAAAAGGTTAGATTTTAAAAAATCATTCTGTGTAAGGTTGGGCGCAGTGGCTCACGCCTGTAATCCCAGCACTTTAGGAGGCCGAGGCAGGCAGATCACCTGAGATCAGGAGTTCTAGACCAGCCTGGCCAACATGGTGAAACCCCGTCTCTACTAAAAATACAAAAATTAGCTGGGCGTGGTAGCATGAGCCTGTAATCCCAGCTACTTGGAAGGCTGAGGCAGGAGAATCACTTGAACCTAGGAGGCAGAGGTTGCAGTGAGCCATTGCACTCCAGCCTGGGCAACAAGAGTGAAACTGTCTCAAAACAAAACAAAATTCTGTGTAGAGCACTTATGGCAGAGCCTGGGAGCTAATAAACGCTAGCCAGGAAGCACCCTAGCTGTGAGTACAGCTGGACGTTTGTAAGTTGCCAAGGAGAGTCCCTTGGTTACTTTTCCTAAGTGCTCTGTTAATTGTAATTATTGTCCGTGAATATCACCATTATTATCAATGTCATCTCTGATAACTCCCCAGCTGGAGGGGTAAGAACTTCTCACTTGCCACCCCTAAAAATCTTATCGCATTAGGATTCTAAAACTTGCTAGTTGTTGACGGCAGAGGGGGTGGCCTCTACCACTTGGGGCCCCTCCCTGGCATCCATGAAAGCTGTGGGGATGTAGCCAGGACAGGACTGGAAGATTCCTGGGCTTGGTTCCAGAAAAGCTCCTCCAGAAAAATAGACAGTGAGCCCTGTGGAATTTGGTTCCATGTTCAAATGAGTCCATGCATACCCAATTGGGGATGTTATTTAGGGGTTGTTTAAAGACCACAGGCTTAGTTCATTAATGTGTTGATTTCAAAATGTCTATCAAGCACGCAACGTGTTCTAGGCACAATGCTGGGAGTTGAGTAGATCTAGAGAGAGAAGGGATACAAAGGTGAATAAATCCTAGTCCTTGTTGTTAAAAATAGCACAAATAATGCCTAATGTTGCAAAAAAAGAAAACAAAGAATGCGATAGAGAGTCAAATAATATGCCATGGCAGAGTTGGAGAAGAAAAGATGAGGTTTGGAGGTAACATTTGCACTGGGTCTTGCTAAGTGGGTAAAATTCGAAAGGGGTAGAAAAGCATCTCAAGGTGTAAATGAAGACTTGGCATGGGAAATTGCAGGGACAGATTCAAGAAAAGAAAAAGAGGCCCTGGGAGGAGTAAGTGGGGGCATGGGGGAGGGAAGATGAGAAGAGTAAAAATAAACTGGCTTCTGGCTAGCAGTCCTGCCAATTGTCCTGCTACCAAGCCTCCCCAGGTCCATCAAATACTGAAAACTCACCACAGGAAAAATGAGGCATGTGAGTAAATTAACTGTTACTGTTTATTTATACAAAGGATCGCCCACACACCAGTGCAAAGTAATCAGCTGTCTTTATGTGCCAACACGGATACATCTTGAAGACTCCGATTGAGTGAGAAAAGCAATTGGCAAATGGATACATAAAGTACAATCATATTTATGTACATTATAACATCTTACAAACAATGCTGTAAAGTATACACTATTTATAGATAATTGCAAATATTGTATAAATATAAAAACATCATGTATGCATATACACTCAATATGCAACAGTTTAACAAAATATTTTGAGAACCTCAATAAGGCTGAAGATTTCTGGGAAAATGTAGGTTATTGAAACTGCCTCAAAGATGTAGAAAACACAAATAATTGCTGAGGCCCAGGAGTTTGAGACCATCCTGGGCAACATGGCAAAACCCCATCTCTACAAAAAATACAAAAATTAGCCAGTGTGGTGGCAGGCATGTATAGTCCCAGCTACTTGGGAGGATGAGGTGGGAGGATTGCATGAGCCCAGGAGGCAGAGGTTGCAGTGAGCCTACATCGGGTCACTGCACTTCAGCCTGGGCGACAGAGTGAACAGAGCAGGACCCTGTCTAAAAAAAAAAAAAAAAAGCATAATCCTAGGCCTCATCCCCTGCCAAGATCTGTAGGGGGAAGTGGGCCTGGGAGCCTAGAAGACAGACAGACAGAAAGAAAGAAAGAGAGAGAGAGAGAGAGAAAAACAAACAGTTCAATGACAATAAAAAAGGATTAATCTATCAGGATGACATGGTGATTGTAAATGTGAATGTACCAAAAAAGAGAGCCTTAAAATACATGAAGTAAATAGTATACAGCTAAAAGGAGAAATAGACAAATGCGCAATCATAGTTGGGGACTTTAAAATCCTCCACTCAGCAACTGATAGTACTATTGGAAAACCAGAGAGTATATAGATCTGAAGAGCACCATCAATCCACAGGCTCTAATTGACATTTATCAAACACTCCTTCCAACAACAGAATATACATTTTTCCCCAGGTGTCCATGAAGCATTCACCAAGATGGATCATATCTTGGGCCATAAACCAAACTTCAACAAATGAAAAAAGAAAAAGAAATTATAGAAAATGTGTTCTCTAACCATAATGGAATTGAACTAGAAAACAATTACAGAAAAAGAAACAGAAAACCTCTAAACATGTAGGAATTAAACGCACTTCTAAATAATCTATGGGTTAGAAAAGAAGTCTCAAAGGTAGAAATAATTAGCAAATACATACACAATCCCAACAAGAAAACTTTCCTGACAATACAATATTGAAAGCCACAGAGGTAGTCCAATTCCCTGTAAAGCAGAGAAGCCAAGTTTTTAATAAGTTGCTGTTTGTTTCAATACTGAAAAGAGGATTGATTTGGTGTGCACCAGCTGGCAAATGTTCCATACTTTCTCTCTCACATGAGAAGATTGGACCTTCAAGAAACCTACACATGGCTGAGCTGACAGCGTCCCTACACCCTCTCCTTCCAATATAGTTTCTTTCTAACTTTCCTCCAAGTTTGTTTGTTTTCAGATGTACGCCTGAGTTTGAGAACATTTCTGTTTTGTTTGTTTTTTACACAAGACATGGTTCAGAATTGTTGGTAAATGGAAGTTCTTCACGACATCATTTGTACGACAGTGGATCATGAATAATAAATAATGTACACTGCTGACTATGAAAAATTATGTAGAACAGGATGAACACAAAAATGCAGCCTATCGTAATATGTAGGATGCAGGGAAAGCAGTGTTTAGTGGGAAATTGATAGCACTAAATGCTTACATTAGAAAAAAGGAGGCCGGGCGCAGTGACTCATGCCTGTAATCCCAGCACTTTGGGAGGCCGAGGTGGGCGGATCACGAGGTCAAGAGATCAAGACTACCCTGGCCAACATGGTGAAACCCTGTCTCTTCTAAAAATACAAAAATTAGCTGGGTGTGGTGGCATGTGCCTATAGTTCCAGCTACTCAGGAGGCTGAGGCAGAATCGCTTGAACCCAGGAGGTGGAGGCTGCAGTGAGTGGAGAGTGTGCCATTGCACTCCAGCCTGGGTGAGAGAGGGCTCAAAAAAAAAAAAAAATCTGATTCTTAGGAAAAACATCAATAAAATTGATAAACTTCTAGTAAGATTGACAAAAACAAAAGAAGAGAAGACACAAATTACCAACTAATGGGGTAATGGGGGTGGGTTTTCCTGTGCTGTTCTCATGAGATGTGATGGTTTTATAAAGGGTAGTTCCCTTGCACAGGATCTTTTGCCTGCCACCATGTAAGACATGCCTTTGCTCTTCCTTTGCCTTTTGCAATGATTATGAGGCCTCCCCAGTCATGTGGAACTGTGAGTCCAATAAACCTCTTTTTCTTTTCTTTCTTTCTTATTTTTTTTTTTTTTGAGATGAAGTTTCATTCTTGTCCCCCAGGCTGGAGGGCAATGTTGTGATCTCAGCTCATTGCAACCTCTGTCTCAAGCAATTCTCTTGCCTCAGCCTCCCGAATAGCTGTGATTACAGGCACGCACCACCATGCCTGGCTAACTTTTGTATTTTAAGTAGAGATGGGATTTCACATGTTGGCCAGGCTGGTCTTGAACTGCTGACCTCAAGTGATCTACCCGCCTCGGCCTCCCCAAGTGCTAGGATTATAGGTGTGAGCCACTAGGCCCGGCCCAAACCTCTTTTTCTTTATAAATTACCCAGTCTTAGGTATGTCCTTATAGCAGCTTGAGAATGGACTAATACACAACTTTACAGTGATAAATTTGACAACTTTATGAAATGGACCAATCCTTCAAAAACCACAAACTATCAAGACTCATCCAAGATGAAACAGAAAATCTGACTGGTCCCATAACCACTGAAGGAATTGAATTAACAATTTCAAAGCTCTCCCTGCAAAAATATCCAGGCCTAGATAGTCTCACTGGAAAATTCTAACATCTAAAGAATAATGAACGCCAATTTTACACAATTTCTTCCAGAAAATAGAAGGCATAGGAATATTTCCAAAGTTATTTTGTGAGGCTAGTATTATCCTGCTATGGTTTGAATGTTCGTCCTCTCCAAAATTTATGTTAAAATGTAATTACTGCGCTGGGCGTGGTGGCTCATGCCTGTAATCCCAGCACTTTGGGAGGCCAAGGCTGGCGGATCATCTGAGGATGGGAGTTTGAGACCAGCTGACCAACATGGAGAAACCCTATCTCTACTAAAAATGCAAAAAATTAGCTGGGCTTTGTGGCAGGTGCCTGTAATTCTAGCTACTCGAGAGGCAAGAGAATCGCTTGAACTTGGGAGGCCAGAGGTTGCAGTGAGCTGAGATCATGCAATTGCACTCCAGCCTGGGCAACAACAGCGAAACTCCGTCTCAAAAACAAAACAAAACAAAAACAAATAAATTAGCTGGCCGTGGTGGCTCCTGTAATCCCAGCTACTCCGGAGGCTGAAGCAGGAGAATTGCCTGAACCCAGGAGGCGGAGGTTGTGGTGAGCTGAGATCACGCCATTGCACTCCAGCCTGGGCAACAAGAGCAAAACTCCATCTCAAAAACAAAACAAAACAAAAACGCAATTGCTATTATAACATTAATAGAATTGGGATCTTTAAGAAGTAGTTAGGCCTTGTGGGCTCGGCCCCTATTAATGGATTAATGCCATTATAGCAGGAGTGGGTTTGTTATCCCAGGAGTGGGTCCGTTATAAAAAGGTAAGTTTGGCCCCTTTTCTCTCTCTCGCCCTCTCACCTTCTGCCATGTCTACATTTAAGTCTATGACCCATTTAGATTTTTTATTAATATTATTTTTAATTAACCAATCATAATTTTATACATTTATGGAGTACAATGTGATGTAGACATAAAACTATAATTTTTAAAAAAATAAAAAATAGGTAAAAATTTTCAGCATTTAGCGCTAGGCAAAGTGTTTAGATTTGATAACAAAAGCATGATTCATAAAAGAAAAAATTGATAAATCGAACTTCATCAAAATTAAAGTTTTTTGGCTAGGCGCGGTGGCTCACACCTGTAATCCCAGCACTTTGGGAGGCCGAGGCGGGCGGATCATGAGGTCAGGAGTTAGAGACCAGCCTGGCCAACATGGTGAAACCCTGCCTTTACGAAAAATACAAAAAATTAGCTGGGTATAGTGGCAGGCGCCTATAATCTCAGCTACTCAGGAGGCTGAGGCAGGAGAACTGAATTGCTTCAACTCTGGAGGCAGAAGTTGCAGTGAGCTGAGATCACACCACTGTACTCCAGCCTGGGCAACAGAGTGAGCCTCTGTCTCAAAATAAATAAATAAATAAATAAATAAATAAATTTTTTTTTTTTGCTGTTTATGTCCATGTGAAGAGGATGAAGACAAATTATATGCTAGGAGAAAATATCTGCAAACCAAATATCCAGCAAACGACTAGTATCTGGAATATACAGTGATCCTTACCTCTCCTTGGTTTCACTTTCTGTGGTTTCAGGTATCTGCTCTCAGTCAGTATCTGAAAATATTAAATGGAAAATTTCAGAAATAAACAATTCATAAGTTTTAAATTGTGCACTGTCCTGAGTAACATGACAAAATCTCGTGCCAGTCCTCTCCCCCTCACTGGGATGTGAGTCATTCCTTTGCCTGGGATAGCCACGCTGTCCACACTAGCTACCTGGAAGTCACTTAGCAGCCATCTCAGTCACCAGACTGATTGTCCCAGTATCACAGTGCCTGTGTTCAAGTAACCCTTATTTTATTTAATAACACTTTACTAATAATAACTTAATTATTGGCTGGGTGCGGTGGCTCATGCCTATAATCCCAGCACTTTGGGAGGCTGAGGCAGGTGGATCACGTGAGGTCAGGAGTTCGAGAGCAGTCTGGCCAACATGGCAAAATCCCATCTCTACTAAAAATAGAAAAATTAGCTGGGCGTGGTGGCGGGTGCCTGTAATCCCAGCTGCTTGGGAGGCTGAGGCAGGAGAATCGCTTGAACCCAGGAGGCAGAGGCTGCAGTAAGCCGAGATCACGCCACTGCACTCCAGCCTGGGTGACTGAGTGAGACTCTGTCTCACAAAAAATCCCAAAAAACTTAATTATTAGTTATTGTTGTTAATCTCTTACTGTGCCTAATTTATAAATTACACTTTATCCTGGGTGTGTAAGTGAAGGAAAAACATAGTATGTACAGAGCTCAGCACCATCTGCGTTTCAGGCATTCACTGGGGGGGGTCTTGGAATGTGTCTCCCGAGGATAAAGGTGGAATACTGTTTAAAAAACTCATAAAACTCAATAGTAACAACAGCAACAAAAACAAACAAACCATCCAGTTAGAAAAAGAGCAAAAGACATGAACAGAAATTTTATTGAAAAAGATACAGGATGACAAAATAGGCATATGAAAGACGTTCAACATTATTAGCCATGAGGGAAATGCAAGTTAAAATCACAATGAGATGCCCTGTACAGTCATCCCTCCATTTCCGTGAGGGTTGCTGGAACCGACCATATCCATGAGGGGTTGGTTCCAGCGCCCCTGTTCCCCAACAGACAGCAAACTCCACGGATGTTCACGTCCGTGATGTAAAATGGTGTACCTAACCTATGTACTGCTAACCTATGTAGTCCTCCTGTATACTTTAAATCATCTCTAGGTTACTTCTAATACCTAATACAGGCCGGGTCAGTGGCTCATGCTTATAATCCCAGTGCTTTGGGAGGATGAGGTGGGAGGATTGCTTGAGGCCAGGGGTTTGAGACCAGCCCAGGCAATAGTGAAACCCTGTCTTTACAAAAAACAAAAACAAAAACAAAAATTTTTTTAAAAAATTATTTGGGCATGGTAGTGCATGACTGTAGTCTTAGCTGCTTGGGAGGCTGAGGTGGGAGAATTTCTTGAGCCCAGGGTTCAAGGCTGCAGTGAGCTGTAATCACAGCATTGCACTCCAGCTTGGGCAACAGAGTAAAGACTCTGTCTCTTAAAAAAAAAAAGTTAAGAAAACCCTAATACAATATAAATGCTAGGTTAATAGTTGTCATATTGTATTGTTTAGGAAATAAGGACAAGAATTTTTTTTAACATATTCAGTACAGACACAACCACCGTCTTTGAAATAAAATATATTTTTGATCCTCGGTTGAATGCATGAACGTGGAACCCATGGATATGGAGGACTGACTGTATATCTATTAGAATGGCTACAGTAGAAAATGACAACACCAAATGCTGGCAAGGAAATAGAGAAACTGAATTACTCATGCATTTACTAGCAGAAATATAAAATGATATCACAATTCTGGAAAACAATTTTGCAGTTTCTTATAGAATGATATATGCACTCACCACAAAACCCAGCAGTTGCACTGTTGGGCATTTATCCTGGAGAAATAAAAACTTCCTTTTTTATTTTTGTTTTTATTTTTTATTTTTTATTTTATTTATTTTTTGAGACGGAGTCTCACTCTGTTGCCCAGGCTGGAATGCAGTGGCGTGATCTTGGCTCACTGCAACCTCCGCCTCCCAGGTTCAAGCGATTCTCCTGCCTCAGCTTCTGGAGTAGCTGGTATTATAAGCAGCCTGACATCATGCCCAGCTAATTTATATATATATATAAAAATATATGTCTACGATTGTTTGGTCTGTCCACCTGGAGTCTTTGTCCCTCTAGTCTTCCACTCCCCTCCAGAAGATGAAGCTTCCTAAATCTCAGACCACATCATGCAGATACAGGAATATTTCCTGTATGTGTATATGTGTGTATATACACACATACGTGTATATGTGTGTATATACACACATACGTGTATATGTGTGTATATACACACATACGTGTATGTGTGTATATACACACATACGTGTATATGTGTGTATATACACACATACATACGTGTATATGCACACACAGAGTTTTGCTCTTGTTGCCCAGACTGGAGTGCAATGGCGCGATTTCGGCTCACCGCAACCTCCACCTCCCAGGTTCAAGTGATTCTCCCGCCTCAGCCTCCTAAGTAGCTGGGATTACAGGCATGCACCACCATGCCCAGCTAATTTTGTATTTTAGTAGAGAAAGGGTTTCTCCATGTTGGTCAGGCTGGTCTCGAACTCCCAACCTCACGTGTTATGCCCGCCTTGGCTTCCCAAAGTGCTGAGATTACAGGCATGAGCCACTGCAGGCCCGGCCTGTATTTTTGTATAGATAGGGTTTCACCATGTTAGCCAGACTGGTCTTGAACTCCTGACCTCAGGCGATTCACCTGCCTTGGCCTCCCAAAATGCCAGGCCTACTCTGCCCAGCTTGAGCCACTGCACCTTGCCCCGGCTAATTTTTGTATGTTTAGTAGAGATGGGATTTCACCATGTTGGCCAGGCTGGTCTCGAGCTCCTGATCTCAAGTTATCCACCCACCTCTGCTTCTCAAAGTGCTAGGATTACAGGCTTGAGCCACTGTGCCCGGCAGTATACTATAGTTTTGCAAACTATTACCCTTGGAGAAAACTGGACAAAGTGTACAAAGAGCCTCTCTGTATTGCTTCTCACAACTGCATGTGTATCTGTAATGATCTCAACAAAAATGTCAATTAAAAAAATTATCAAAAACTTACTGACCCTCTCATTGTCCCTCCCTGCAAAAAAGGATCTGAGTTAAAATGTTTTAGGGAACAGATAATTTTCCATGTTATTTAAAGTGGTTCAGCACATATGAAGAGATGGAAAACCATTTCATTTATTTTACTCAGATAATGTCAATACCAAAAAACCACACATGGAACCCCAGTGTGAAAAGACTGTAAAAGATGAAGGGTTGCTGGTAGAAACAAGAGTGGGGAGCTTGTAGTCACTTACTTTCCTTCCCCTCTTCCCACTCTTTCCACCACAAACCCCTCCCTGCCTACTTCCCACCCACAACTACATTTTGGGTTTCTGTGGAAACTAAGGGCTGTGCAGCTTGCTTTTTGAAAATTACCTCTATTGCACAGTCCTAATTATGGAGAATTATTGCCATAAAAAATCCCAAACAAAATGCTAGCAAATTGAATTCAATTTAAAACAATTATCTACTATCACCATGAAGAAGAGTTTATCTCAGGAGGGTTAAAATGACATAAAAATGGAAAATATGTTACTGTGATATGGCATATCAGTAGGTTCTTATTGGACCTACTGGTATGAGAAGTTTAAGAGATACTAAAAAAAGAGATTTAATGAAATTAATACCCATTTCTGAGTGTTTTTCTTTTTCTTTTTCTTTTTCTTTTTTCTTCTAGACTCTTCGTCCAGGCTGGAGTGCAGTGGCACGATCTTGGCTCACTGCAACCTCTGCCTCCCAGGTTCAAGCGATTCTCCTGCCTCAACCTGCCAAGTAGCTGGGATTACAGGTGCCCGACACCACAGCCGGCTAATTTTTGTGTTTTTAGTAGAAACGGGGTTTCCCCATGTTGGCCAGGCTGCTCTCGAATTCCTGACCTCAAGTGATCTGCCTGCCTCGGCCTCCCAAAGTGCTGGGATTATAGGCGTGAGCCACCATGCCCCGTCCTGATTAAAAAAAAAAAATCCTATTTACTAATAATAGAAGGAAACATTTTTAACCTGATAGACTATGGAGCAAGGAAACATTCCTGGATCTGCATGATGTGGTCTGAGGTTTAGGAAGCTTCATCTTCTAAAGGGGAGTGGAAGACTAGAGGGACAAAGGCTCCAGGTGGACCGACCAAACAATCGTAGACAACCGCACTGGTCCAGGCAAGCATAACAAGAGTCAGAACAGTAGTGCTTGCTGGGGTTGAGGCGGTTCTCCCAAGAGGTACCTGAGATTGGCTTGAGGGATGAGGGTGAAGGAGAAATTGAAATTGACTCAGGCTGGGCATGATGGCTCATGCCTATAATCCCAGCACTTTGGGAGGCCGAGGCAGGCAGATCACTTAAGTCAGGAGTTCAGGACCAGCCTGGCCAACATGGCGAAACCCCGTCTCTACTAAAAATATAAAAGTTAGCTGGGCATGGTGGTGTGCGCCTGTAGTCCCAGCTACTTGGGAGGCTGAGGCAGGAGAATCCCCTGGAGGCAGAGGTTGCAGTGAGCTGAGATTGCGCCACTGCACTTCAGTCTGGGCGACAGAGTGAGACTCCGTCTAAAAGCAGAAGAGAAAGGAGAATACAAAAGAATGACAAGAAGTCCTCAAAGAACCTAAAACATTTTTTGGTATTTGTGCAGGTACACCATGTTCTTTCAAAGTCGTTTAATTTCTATTATCTCACTTAATCCTCACCCTGTGAGGCTTCCACAAGGTTGTGAATCTGAAGGCCCAGCTTGGGAACTCTGCCAAGGCACGTAAGGCCACAAAAGGTGATGGGCACACCTCATTTTAGAGGCTGCACTTCCCCACAAAACATGTGAAAATATACCACCTGCCATACTGAATGTAATTCATACAGAACCAGGTGAGAGCTGAGTTGAGCTGCAATTGACTAGCTGCCTAGTGCTACATTTAAACATGTATTCACATTAATTTCTGAGTTGCCTTTTATACTTCAGAGCCCATCCATTCTTCCTGGGATCTAACATTTCTAAGATTCCCTTTAAAAGCTTCCCAACCAGGTCATACTGCAGTAGCTCAAGGATGTAATCCCAGCACTTTGGGAGGCCCATGCTGGAGGATCACTTGAGCCCAGGAGTTCGAAAGCAGCTTCGGCAACATAGCAAGAGCCTATCTCTACAAAAAATATTTTTAAAGTTAGCTGGGTGGTGTTGTGCTTGCTTGTAGTCTCAGCTGTTTGGGAGGCTGAGGCGGGAGGATTGCTTGAGCCCAGAGTTTGAGGCTGCAGTGAGCCATGATTGCACCACTGCACTCCAGCTTGGGTGACAGGGTGTTGCTTTTTTTAATTTTAATTTTTTAAAGCTTGTCAATCTTAGACACTTGAACCCAACAACCTTGTGGATACAATGCCGTAGAACTCTACCATGCCAATCCAGGCTTCTTCTTCCTTTTTTTTTTTTTCGAGATGGAGTTTCGCTCTGTTACCCAGGCTGGAGTGTAGTGGCACGATCTCAGCTCACTGCAACTTTCACCTCCTGGGTTCAAGCGATTCTCCCACCTCAGCCTCCCCAGTAGCTGGGATTACAGATGCCCAACATCATGCCCGGCTAATTTTTGTATTTTTGTAAAGACAGGGTTTCACCATGTTGGCCAGTCTGGTCTCAAACTCCTAACCTCTGGTGATCCGCCCACTTCGACCTCCCAAAGTGCTGGGATTACAGGTGTGAGCCACCGCGCCTGGCCCAATCCAGGCTTCTGAAGTCCTAAAGATCCTCGCAGAGCGTGACAAGGAACATGGGACCAATGGTTGGAATACCAAACTTAGAAGACTTATACCAGACAAAGAAAATGGAGTGTGGGCAAAATGAGTGGCGGGCAGGAGGCAAGCTGCCAAGGCTTTGGGCAGGAGAGCGGGCGATGGTGCTCAAATAGCTCCCACGTAACTCAGGGAGAATTTCTTTCTAATTCCGCCAAAGACATACAGTTTTCTCCTCTTGTAGCTGAGAAAAACTCTTCTGGGTCTTGCCCCTTTTGACTGACAAACTATAGAGCAGATTCTATGACCACCAGGTCTAAGTGGAAGGAAGGGAGAGCACAGGTTTCCCATGCCGTGCGTCTCTGTCTCCACTACCAAGTTGAGAATGCTTCTTAACTCTTCTGTCACATTCCGGTTGTCATGTGCAATTTGACTGTCTAATCCCACTCATAAAACTCTTGGCTTTTCCCCATGAGGCCTTCAGAAGCAGTCTTGTGGCATTTATTTCTATTTCTTTCTTTCTTTCTTTTTTTTTTTTAGATGGAGTCTTGCTCTGTCGCCCAGGCTGGAGTGTAGTGGCGCCATCTCGGCTCACTGCAAGCTCCGCCTCCCAGGTTCACGCCATTCTCCTGCCTCAGCCTCCTGAGTAGCTGGGACTACAGGCGCCCGCTACCACGCCCGGCTAATTTTTTGAATTTTTAGTAGAGACGGGGTTTCACCGTGTTAGCCAGGATGGTCTCGATCTCCTGACCTCGTGATCTGCCCGCCTCGGCCTCCCAAAGTGCTGGGATTGCAGGCGTGAGCCACCGCGCCTGGCCATTTGTTTCTATTTGTATTCATTATTTTTTTTTTCAGTCTACATAACAGGTCTGATCACACTTTCAGGCACACCTTTCAGGAAGGACCACTGGTTTATTTAGATGGATTTGGACATGGGTAGAGGGAAATTTACAGTACAGATGAGCTCTAGAGCCCATTTCTCTTGCTCTCTGCAATGTAGGTATTTTTGTTTTTGTTTTTGCTTTTAAATGATCAGCCTTGAGTGACTCGATGTACACCTGTGGGTTCCAGATTCAGGAAATGTTTGATGCTTTTTCATACTGTTGCAAATGGTATTTAGTTTGAAATTTCATTTTCTATTAGTTTGTTGCTCTCGTATAGAAATACAACTGATTTTTGAACTGACTTTTATCTCCAGATTCCCTAATAAATTCATTTATTAATACTAATGGTTAATCTATAGGTTCTTTTAAATTTTCTGTGAATCACAGCAGTTTTATTTATTTATTTCCAATCATTATGGTTTTTTGTTTGTTTGTTTGTTTGTTTGTTTGTTTGTTTTTGAGACTGAGTCTCACTCTGTTGCCCAGGCTGGAGCACTGTGGAGCGATCTCGGCTTCCTGCAACCTCTGCATCCTGGGTTCAAGTGATTCTCCTGCCTCAGCCTCTCAATAGCTGGGATTACAGGTGCGTGCCACCATGCCCAGCTAATTTTTTGTATTTTTAATAGAGACAGGGTTTCACCATGCTGGCCAGGCTCGTCTGGAACTCCTGACCTCAGGGCCAGGCTGGTCTGGAACTCCTGACCTCAGGTGATCCACCCACCTTGGCCTCCCAAAGTTCTGGGATTACAGGTGTGAGCCAATGCGCCTGGCCCATTATGGTTCTTATCCTTTCTCTTGCCTTCTTGCACTGCCTCTGACCTCTGGCACATTGTTGATTAAAACAGTGCTCACGGGAAAACTTGTCTTGTTCCTAACCCCAGGGGAAGAACACCGACTGTTTCACATTTAAGTGTGCTGTTAGGTGTAGATTTAGTAGATTCTATCTATCAGACCCCTCCCATGCACCATTCTGGGTTCTCTGCCTCACATCTTGGTCTAGCTGTTGCTGCTAGAAGCATCTTTTCACGGGCTCTGATCACCATCCCAGACATACTTTGACAGCACCTCTCTTCATGCCACACTGTGTGACTCTTCCCTCACGCCCAGAGGGTTTCCCGGCGCACACTGAGGTGGGAGACACGGTGGGTCCGCAGTAGGTGTCCCTAACAGTGTAGCCTTAGGGCCAAGCTTTGACTGGTGAAGATAGAGCCAGTTGATCAATTCTTCCCCATTTCTCCCCTTCCAGACAGACTGTGCTGAGAAGCTGATGGTCCCATCTGACTGTGCATTAACAGGCAGGGGCCAGCTGGTAGTGCCTCCTCCATCGCTCTCCCTCCTTCCCCACCACCCACACCAAGCTCCTTGGGATTGCCTTAGGTTCGGTTGTCTGGGAAGCTCTGACCAAGATATTTAATAACAGGCATGACCCTAGAAAGCAGACCCTTAAAAAAGAATTTTGGAGTAGGATTACTCACCTTAAGGTCTTCTCAAGGACCGCATTATTAATGATTGGGAGGGGGATATGGTAATACGTGGTATGCAGTATCATCAAAATTATTAAGCTTTTGGCCTGCGGTGAATTTGGAAAAGGTACTTGTGGAAAGTGAGGCATTTGCTTATGTAGTGGCTGTGTCCCTCGGATGCCATGCATCAATGAGAGGCATGAGGATTGTGGTGCACACTTGTTAGTGTTGATGGTAGGCTCAGGACAGCCAGCTGTCAACTCCAGGTGCACTCTGAAAGTGACAAATGAGAAACTTACCTCCTAACATTGCCAGGAACTGTGCTTAAAATTAGTACCATCGATTTTTGTTTCATGTATCTGGAAGCTACGTTATGAGGTGTGTGCACAGTTAAGATTGTTCTGTTTTTTTCTTGATGAATCAACCTTTCTATTGGAATGAAATGTCTTTCTTGATCGTTAGGAATACTCTTTCTCTTGAAGTTTACCCTTGCCTGCTATTTTAATAGTCACGCTAGCTTTCTTATGTTTAGAGTTTGTATGGTTGATCTTTCTTTTTTTTTTTTTTTTTGAGACGGAGTCTCACTCTATTGCGAGGCTGGAGTGCAGTAGCATAATCTCGGCTCACTGCAACCTTCACCTCCTAGGTTCAAGTGATATTCCTGCCTCAGCTTCCCAAGTAGTTGAGACTACAGGCACCTGCCACCACACTTGGCTAATTTTTGTATTTTTAGTAGAGACAGAGTTTCACCATGTTGGCCAGGATGATCTCCGTCTCTTGACCTTGTGATCCGCCCTGCATGGTAGATCTTGCAAAGTGTCTTTATGATTAAAGTGTGTTTCTTGCTGGTCACGGTGGCTCACACCTGTAATCCCAGCACTTTGGGAGGCCAAAGCAGGCAGATCACTTGATTCCAGGAGTTCGAGACCAGCCTGGGCAACATGGTAAAACCCTGTCTCCACTAAAATACAAAAAAAAAAAAAAAAAAAAAAATTAGCTGTGCATGGTGGCATATGCCTGTAGTCCCATCTACTCGGGAGGCTGAGGCAGGAGAATTGCTTGAACCTGGGAGGCAGAGGTTGCAGTGAGCTGAGATCATGCCACTGCACTCCAGCCTGGGCGATAGAGTGAGACTCCATCTAAAAAAAAAAAAAAAAAAAGTAGCCAGTATGGTGGCATGCACGTGCCAGTAATCCCAACTACTGGGGAGGCTGAGGCAGGAGACTTGCTTGAACCCGGGAGGCAGAGGTTGCAGTGAGCCACTGCACTCCAGCCTGGGTGACAGAGAGAGACTCCATCTTAAAAATAAATAAAATAAAATAAAATAAAATGTATTTCTTATAAAGATTATATACAGTAGTTGGGTCTTGCTTTTTTTATTGAGTCTGCCAATTTCCACCTTTTAACTGAGATATTTAGATAAGCATTTAAAAATCGATTGTGTTTTACTCTTTCATTGTTTATTTCAAAAGATAAATATATGTTTTTATATTTATATTTCTCCCTTCTTAAACAAAAGGGAACATGCTTGGCTTTCCCTGCCCCTGAACAATACTTCATGAAGATCAACTCCTAGAAGTTCACAGGCATCTTCCTTGTTTCTTTTTATAGTTACAGAGCTCTCCATTGTTTTGGGTTGAATGTTTAGTCAATCCATTCCTATGGACATTTGGTTCCAGTCTTTCGCTATTGCAAATACAGTTGCAATGAATACTGTTGTATATATGTCTTTTTCATAGTTTGTCAATGTATCTTTTGCATAGATTTGTGGACGTGAGCTTGCTGGTCAGAGAACAAATGCATATGTAATTTTGCTCCATATTGCTAAATCCCCCTTCTTAGGGATTGCACTCTTTTGCATTTTGTAGGTGGGGCTTCTCCCATGGAAGTCTCTGCGTCAGGGTGACCCGGAGGGCTGCTGTCCATTATCCTGGGCCCCTAAAGGCTAGAACACAGAATTCTTTCCTCTGGAACATTCAGTTTCTTGAAAAAGAGGTTGTGTGATTGTTCGTCTGGAGGGAATATATATTGCTCCCAGGTGTTGGTGTTTCCACAGGGGCATGTGAAGTGGGTGGATTTGAACGTTGGTGGTGAGTCCACTTGTTCCATATGGACATCTTCCATAATTTTCTATTTCAGCTCGCATTTCACTCCCACCAAGCATTTCTGAATCCCAAGTCTCTCTAAGTTTGTGCGAGACTTGCTGACATCCTTCCCTGGTGTTACGCTGAGCACCTTACTCTTGGCTGGGACTTCTTCAGCCCACCCAGTAGCTACTCTTCTCCAGGTGCTCCTCATCTTGCAGAGCTTTGCTGAAATCTCTTGTGTGTGATCTGCCTGCTATTCCTTCTACCATTGAAGGTTTATGCCTTTTAAATTAATTTAGTAGCATTTTATGAGTTTGAGATTGGGGAGAAGATAAATTTGTGGTGTTATTCCAACATTTTGATCCAGATGAGCACCAAAAATGTGTAGAAGGAGGCACTGAAGCAGCTAGAGTATGAGGTTAGAAAAGGAAAGGGCTTTCTAATAAGGGCTGCTCTGGAACATTTATTTGGCCCTACTTCATGGCTTCTGAGAAACACAAGGGAAGGATCTGAATTATTTTGAAGTTGCTTTTTCTTTTCTTTTCTTTTTTTCTGTTTTTTCTTTTCTTTTCCTTCCCTTGCTTTTCTTCTTCTTTTTGCCCAGGCTGGAGTGCAGTGGCACGATCTCGGCTCACTGCAACCTCTGCCTCTCAGGTTCAAGCGAATCTCCTGCCTCAGCCTCCCCAGTAGCTGGGACTTATAGGCGTGCGCCACCACTCCCAGCTAATTTTTGTATTTTTGGTAGAGCTGGGGTTTCCCTGTCTTGGCCAGGCTGGTCTCGAACTCTGGGCCTCCAGTGATCTGCCTGCCTTGGCCTCCCAAAGTGCTGATATTATAGGTGTGAGCCCCTGCGCCTGGCCTGAAGTTGCCTGTGACTAAAAGTCACAACTTTTAGTTGTGAGATGCATGTTTCTCTGACTGGACCACATGGCTTCTTGATACTTAAATGATCAACAAGTTAATTTGGAAAATAGAGCAGCTACTATGCTTAAAATATGGGACATGCTAAGATATTAGATTCAGCCACCCTACTTTCTGACATATATATGAGGCTTTAATCTTATTATCAAGCAAAAAATAAAAACAAAAAACACAACCCCAAACAACAATAACAAAGCAAGACATCTGCAGAATTGTGTTATGCTCAATTTGTGGGGGCCCTTGCATATGCCCTACATTTTCTCAGATGCCTTTTTCCTTGTAAGACTAAAATATAAAATGAGTATTTGTCCTTATAAATGGTACAAGTCTCACTTGCAAAATGATCTAACTTGTATATATCCAGGGTCATAATACCTTGTATCAGACAAGGGGTTAAGACGGGAACAAGTCAACCCTGTTGTCAGGGAATGCGCGGTTTAGTGGAGGAGGTAGAGGAGGTGGACCAGCTAAGAGACAGTTACAAAATGACGTGATGCTTGCTGTTATAGCGGAGTGTTCAGATGAGTCAAGGATTTAATTATCATAGCTGACAATGTACATTTTTATACATGCTCACTTTGACAGTGCATATATTAAAACTGAAGCATTACAGAGACAATTGGCTTGGTCCCTAAACCGAGATGACTTAGAGACTCATGAGACACTTACATTTTTGTGAGATAGCCTGTTGTCGTGGAAACATGCCTCAGCCTCCCCAGTAGTTGGGATTACTGGCACGTGCGTGCCACCACACTGGATCCCAAATGCCTAGGTTTGATTCCCATTCCTACTTTTTATTTCTATTCAGGAAGTTCCTTAACCCTCTCTACGACTCAGTTTCCTCATTTGTAAAAGCATGGGGTCCAGGAGCCATGGCTCATGCCTGTGATCTTTGGGAGGCTGAGGCAGGAGAATCGCTTGAACCCGTGGGGGCAGAGGTTGATATGAGCTGAGATCACACTACTACTGCATTCCAGTCTGGGAGACAGCGAGGCTCTGTCTCAAAAAATAATAATAATAATAATAATAATAATAATAATAATAAAAGAAGAGCACCAAAGAGCTAGCCCTTTTCTCTCCATGCGAAGGCACTAAGGCTTTGTAGGGACAGAGCAAGAGGCAGCCATTTGCGAGCCAGGAGGAGATACTGAATCAGCTGACCAGATACCGAATCAGCCAGAAACTTGATCTTGGACATCTAGCCTCCAGAACTGTGAGAAAATGTATTTGTGTTGTTTAAGCTACCCAGTCTGGAGGTTTTTGGTTTTTTCTTTTTTTTTTTTTGACAGGCTCTCGCTCAATTGTTCAGGCTGGAGTGCAGTGGTGCAATCTCAGTTCACTGCAACATTTACCTCCTGGACTCCACTATCCTTCCATTTCAGCCTCCTGAGTAGCTGGGACTATAGGCGCGCACCGCTATGCCCAGCTAATTTTTTGTATTTTTCATAGAGACAGGATTTTACTATGGTGCCCAGGCTGGTCTAGAACTCCTGGGCTCAAATAATCAGCCTGCCTTGGCCTCCCAAAGCTCTGAGATTACAGGCATGAGCCACCATGCCTGACCTGCAGTCTGGAGCTTTTTTTTTATTATGAAAGTCTGAGCAGCCTGATACAATAATGTTCCAATCTCTGTTATTTTCTGTTATTATTATTATTTTTTTTGAAAAGGAGTTTCATTCTTGTGGTCCAGGCTGGAGTGCCATGGCACAATCTTGGCTCTCTGCAACCTCCGCCTCCCAGGTTGAAACAATTCTCCTGCCTCAGCCCCCTGAGTAGCTGGAATTACAGGTGCCAGCCACCACTCCTGGCTAATTTTTGTATTTTTCGTAGATATGGGGGTCTTGCCATGTTGGCCAGGCTGGTCTCGAACTCCTGACCTCAGGTGATCCACCTGCCTTGGCCTTCCAAAGTACTGAGATTACAGGCATGAGCCACTGCACCTGGCCTTTTTTTTTGTTTTTTGGATAGGAGACATCCTAATGGGAGTGAGGTGTGGGCTTAAGAAATAGAAACCATGGTGGTTCCTAACCTTATCCAGAGCAGAGAATCTAAGAATCTGGTGAAAACTCTGCGCCTTCTCCCTAGAGAAACGCCCATAAATATATCATTTCGCATAAAATTTAAGTAAGTTTCTCTAAGGCACCATAAACCTCAAATTATAAATCCTCGACCTAGCGTAACGAAGTGTTCTTAGATCAGTAAAACATACTCAGCAGTTTTTAAGAATTGCATTGGTAGGCCCGGCATGGTGGCTCCCACCTGTAATCCCAGCACTTTGGGAGGTTGAGGTGGGTGGATCACTGGAGGTCAGGAGTTTGAAACCAGCCTGGCCAACATGGCAAAATCCCGTCTCTACTAAAAATACAAAAATTAGCCGGGCGTGATGGTGTGTGCCTGTCATCTCAGCTACTCGGGAGGCTGAGGCAGGAGAATCGCTTGAACCTGGGAGGTGGAGGTTGCAGTGAGCCGAGATCACGCCACTGCACTCTAGCCTGGGTGACAGAGCGAGACTCTGTCCCAAAAAAAAAAAAAAAAAAAGAATTGCACTGGTAGTTGTCTTCTCTATTTCTTCCATATACTTATTGGGCATTTATTATCTGGCTAGTGCTGTGCTAAATACTCAATTATATTATTATATATATAATATTATACATACTTATTTACATTGCATGTTGTATTTTTATACAATAAAAACTATATTATATATAATTATTATATATTGTATTTTTCTACCTTAAAACAACCGTGTGGAATAAAGCTATTTTACCACTTTGCAGATGAAGAAACAGGCTGATGGAGGTTGGTCATCTATTCAAGGTTCCCACTGCAGTCCCTGGAGGAGCTGGGATTCTTTGAGCTTAAAGATGTTAGTGTAACTGGGGACATGTACAGACACTGTGTGAGAAGGCAGCACCCATGGCAGATGCCTGGGGCTAGTGAGCACCCTCTAATATTTTCTGGGAGGGGGCAATTATTTGCAATAGTTGACTCCGCCCAAGTTTATCAACAGATGTCCAATCGCTGACCTTCAGATGCTTTCTAGAATTCCTGGGGTTCCTAAAGCTTCCTAATGCTTTGATGACAACCTCTCTTCTAGGAGTCCAAGGGGGTAGCACTGTGTTTCAATGATGAGGTCAACAGAGAAAGACTACCCAGAACAAAATCAGAATGTCCTGTTTTATGAAGATAAATCAGACATAGAAGTGGGAAATTAAAAAATATATATATCGTGGAACTTCCTATTTTCACTTCTGCTACCATGACTACCATTCAGGGATCCATAGCACTTGAAATCAAGCAGGCATAGTATCTGTTCAATCTACTAAAAAATACTGAAAAATAAAGGAAGTGCCATAGCCTTGCTGCCAGAGCTACTCATTTTCTTTTGCTTTTTTTTTTTTTTTTTTTTTTTTGGAGACAGAGTTTTGCTCTTTTTGCCCAGGCTGGAGTGCAATGGCGCGATCTTGGCTCACCACAACCCCTGCCTCCTGGGTTAAAGTGATTCTCCTGCCTCAGCCTCCTGAGCAGTTGGGATTACAGGCATGTGCCACCATGCCAGGCTAATTTTGTATTTTTAGTAGAGACGGGATTTCTCCATGTTGGTCAGGCTGATCTCAAACTCCCAACCTCAGGTGATCCACCTGCCCCGGCCTCCCAAAGCGCTGGGATTACAGGAGTGAGCCACCGCGCCAGGCCTCTTTTGCATTTTTGTAAATGGCAGCCATTACTGAGCCATGTTATCACCTACTGGAAAGGGATATTCCTTGGCCCTGGACAGTGATAGCAGTGGCAAATCATTATGGGTTTGCAACAAGCTCAATTCTTGCCTCCTCAGAAGAAAGAATTCAACCAAAGGGCATAAGGCAGAGTGACAGACAGAGGCAAGTTTTAGAGCAGGAGTGAAAGTTTATTAAAAAGCTTTACAGCAGGAACGAAATGAAGTAAAGTACACTTGGAAGAGGGCCAAGCGGGAGACTTGAGAGAGTCAAGTGCACTGCTTGACCTTTGACTTGGGGTTTTATACAATGGCATGCTTCCGGGCTCTGCATCTCTTCTTCTTGATTCTTCCTTGGGATGGGCTGTCTGGGTGCACAGTGGCCTGCCAGCACTTGGGAGGGGCCACATGTGCAGTGTATTTAACTGGAGTTGTGTGCATGCTCACTTGAGGCATTCTCCCCTTACCAGTGTTCCTGGAGGAAGGTCATATACTGGTTAAACTCCGTCATTTTGCCCCTTAGTGTACATACTTGAGCCCACTCACCCAACTCTAGAGATCTCACTGGGAAGCTGCTGATTGCTAGTTTCAGGTGTTTCTCTCTACTAGGAGACTGCCTTTCCCTGGCACCAGCTGTGACCAATTCCTAGGTTGGTGCAAAAGTAATTGCGGTCTTTGTCATTAAAACCAATAACAAAAACCACAATTACTTTTTACTGACCTAAAGATTAATTTAGGGAGACAGTGTAACAAATGCTTTACCATCACCTGATGGTTGCCTGACATTCCTGGTGGTTGGGAGGGTTCCTCTCCTGCCCTGCTCATGGCTGGCTAGCTACCTACTGTAACAAGAGCACAGGCTGTCAAGCAGGTTTTTGGCTTCCCAGACAGGGCCCATGGATTTTGTGAATGCAGCCACTATTTATTGATGTAATCGCTCCACCCTATAGGGCTGGAGTTGTGCTTGGCCACAGAGTGCCAGATGGCCATTAGGTACCAGCTGCTTCCACCCAAGAACACTGTCACTCACAGAATGCAGCTGCACAGATACCAAGATGGAAGCCCCAACAGTTATCATGGATGTTAAGAAATCCTACCGCCACTTCAAATCACAAGACTAGCTAACATATACTGAATGCTTATCACACATCGGGTGCTGTGCTAAGCACTTCATGTGGATTATTAGTTCCTTAAATCCTTCCGACAAGCTATCATTTGACTTTCTAGGGACTCTTCTAAGAATAAAACTATCCTTGAACTACAGCACTGTTTTAGGAATTGTGGGAGTCTTCCCTTCCAACCCAACTCCTGTGTTCTCTTGGGGAATCCTTGAAGAGCTCAATGACTACTGCCCACTAAGTGCCCTCACACTACATGCTCCTTGTCAGCTTTACAGGACATGCGGATCCTGGGAGCCTTACCTCATTCTCTGTTGAAGAGAAGATACAATATAGTTTTTTGTTTATTGCCTGTGTGATGCTAGATCAGCTTGTGCCTTAAACTTGGTATTGAAGGGGTGACCTAGACAGAAACTGCCCAAAGAGTGAAATTTATTTACTAATAAGTATGAATTGTCTGCATGCAAAGGATGCATTTTATTGGAAAAATTTATCATGTCAACATATTTTTACCATATTATCTTGGCTATATTATAACAGTATAATGGAAAGTTATTGACAGGAAGGAACCTATGTTTTCAGTAAACCATCATGGACCATAGAATAAGTCTGCCACTGAAAAGGCTGTATTTATGATTATTGTAGGCAACTTGAGAAAAACCCCTGAGGGAACTTATGGCCAGGTGCAGTGGCTCACACCTGTAATCCCAGCACTTTGGGAGGATGAGGTGGTTGATTCCTTGAGCTCAGGACAAGGCAAAACTCCATCTCTACAAAAAATAGAAAAATTAGCCGGGCGAGGTGGTGTGTACTTGTAGTCCCAGCTACTCAAGAGGCTGAAGTGGGGGGATCACCTGAGCCCAGGGAGGTCAAAGCTGCAGTGAGTCATGTTTGCGCTACTGCATTCCAGCCTGGATGACAGAGCAAGACCCTTTCTCAAAAAAAGAAGTGATCTAGATTTTTTTTTAAAACATGCTGATAGTACAGAAACGTTCCTGGGGAATAATTTGACTGCAAGAGACGTTTTCAAAAAGAACTAAGATAGTTTTGATCCTATCTCAAACCTCCCCTTTAATGATTGAGGCTTTACATCAGTTATTTACAAGAAACCTGGAATGTCAGACAATACAATTTGTAATAATGGTGCAATTACAAAATTTGTGTCTGAAGGTTTTATGAGTCGTTATCAGCACAGCCTATTACTCAGTGGTCTAAGAGAATGGCCACAAAGTTGCTGCAAGTATCTCATCCCTCAGCACACAAGAACTGCCTGTGTAGAAGTACTAATCTGTCGGCATCTCTGGACTTGCTTCAGTCATTTCTGATCAGATTTAGCTTACTGTCTCTAAGACAAACAAGAGTATATTTGGGTTATTTATTTGTATCTATTCAGCTCTTTATCAGAGTGTTTTTTTTTTTTTTTTTTTTTTTTGAGACAGAGTCTCATTTTGATACCCAGGCTGGAGTGCAGTGGTGCAATCTCGGCTCACTGCACCCTCTGCCTCCTGGGTTTGAGAGATTCTCCTGCCTCAGCCTCCCGAGTAGCTGGGATTACAGGCACCCACCACCATGCCCAGCTAATTTTTGTATTTTTAGTAGAGATGGGTTTTCACCATGTTGGCTAGGCTGGTCTAGAACTCCTGACCTCAAGTAATTTGCCCATCTCAGCCTCCCAAAGTGCTGGGATTACAGGCGTAAGCTGCCGCACCTGGCCCTATTTGGCTGCTCCTGTTAGCCCTTTTGCACGGGGCTGGATTCCCTCAATTCACTTTTCCACGCAGACAGCTGGAGTAGGGACAATCAAATTATTTACTTTATAAATTATGCCATTATTACTTCTAAGAGTACTGGTGTCCATTACATCCTTTTCAAAGACTTTCACTGATCAGCTGAGATATCTGGCTTTTTAAGATCCATATTTTTTCTTTATCTTTGCCTCACTGTTTATCGATAGATATACCTGAAAATATAAAAGATTAACATGGTCCAGGGAAGCCAGTGTTTATGGAGTAACTATTTAAAGATAACTGGAGCGGACACTTGTTACTCTAGAAATTTCCCTGTATCTTCTGTTCCCATCCATATGGCTACTTTAGGAGTTGCCATCTTGGTTCAATGCCAGTCTGCCACTGGGCACAGTTGATTGGACCAAATTTAGCTTGCAAGTCAAGCTAGGCCAATCAAAGTTATTTCATGGAGAACTGGATTTGGAAAACAGAGGGTACTGTTTTTCTTTCTGGAAGCTTGATTGACAGGTGTCAAATATGCAAGCTGTTGGCAGCTTTGTGGTTTAGGGAGTACAGGGGTTGGTCCATAGCCAGAAGAAAAAGAGAAGCCAACACAACAAAGAGGGTAGAGGCTGGAGACAGAGGGTATTTTTGTTTCCTGGGGCTGCTGTAACAAATTACCACAAACTGGGTGGCTTATAATGACAGAAAATTAGGCCGGGTGCAGTGGCTCATGCCTGTAATGCCAGCACTTTGGGAGGCCGAGGCGGGCGGATCACGAGGTCAGGAGTTCAAGACTAGCCTGATCGATATGGTGAAACCCCATCTCTACTAAAAATACAAAAATTAGGCGGGTGTGGTGATGGGCACCTGTAATCTCAGCTACTCGGGAGGCTGAGGCAGGAGAATTGCTTGAACCTGGGAGGCAGAGGTTGCAGTGAGCCAAGATTGTGCCACTGCACTCCAGCCTGGGCGACAGAGCAAGACTCCGTCTCAAAAAAAAAAAAAAAAAAAAAGAAAAAAGAAATCTATGTCACAATGTCACATACCCTTATCTAAACCAATTACCAACAAAGGGTTTGGGAACCCATGATTGGCTTGGACCTATGAGGATTCAGCCCTTGGGCTGGGGCTGTGATCAACCCCTTGTGAAACACAAAGCTGAGCACAGGAGGGCAGATGCTGTTCTGAATCGAAAGAGGAAAGGAGGGTGGGTGAGAAACGCATGTTAAGTAGGCAACCAGCAGTGTCAGTGACACATGGCCGACTTATGTTTTCAAAATCCCAAATGACTCCAGGCACTTTCCACCAGATTTTTTAGCTTACCTCTAAACAGCCATCCATGTGCTGTAGGCAAATTTTGGCAGGAAGTGCCAGAAGGTAGCATCTCGCCCCTGTTCTAATCTGCTTACTGTGCCTCTGACATCAGTAGCACAAAGGGTAAAAATCAGTGCAGTCAGCTCTCCTAATGGCTGTATGACTTTGGAAGTGGCTGTTTGGAAGGTGGTTTTAAGAGACCTGTAAAAGGACAGACATGCTTCATGGTTGTGGCTCCCAGGTAACAACTCTGAAGGACTCAACACCTGGATTCCTGGCCAGAGCCCCTCAGGTGGCCTCCATGTAGGTGCCATAGCAAAGAATCCCATTTTTTTTCATCTAGGAAAAGGGAACAAAGGTGTGGTTCCGATCAGGGTGGTTGGTTTAAGTCCACAAAAATCATCTGTTAAGCAACTACTAAAGGCAAAGATGGACCAAATTGACCTGTTCTTTGTGGGCAGTCTCCATCCAGCTGCTACAGGCTCTAAATGAGCCACCATATAGTATGGCGGCTCATACTATCGGCTCAAGATAGTTGACCTTACAGGTCACCTGTGGAAAGCCATGGAACCCTGGCAGCAGGAACTATTTCTCTTTGGGACCAGGTTCTTGGAGAGAGAGACTAGGCTCAGCTTTCCTGCAACTTGCAGGGTTGAGTCAGGGTCATCTGGCCTGAGGCAGAGGCAGTCACTTGTGGGGACGGTGGGGAGTCTGTCCTAGTCCTCTCACCCCACCCTGGAGAGTTACCACCACTGAGGAAGGAGGAAGGAGATGTTTCTGTTTGTCATCTCATGACATCATCACAGCAGCAAATGATGTGGGCATGGTTGGGAGTGGTGGCTGATGCCTGTAATCCCAGCACTTTGGGAGGCTGAGGCAGGCGGATCACTTGAGGTCAGGAGTTTGAGACCAGCCTGACCAACATGGTGAAACCCTGACTCTACTAAAAATATAAAAATTAGCTGGGCGCGGTGGTGCATCTGTAATCCCAGCTACTCAGGAGGCTGACACAGTAGAATCACTTAAACCCAGGAGGTGGAGGTTGCAGTGAGCCGAGATTGCGCCATTGCACTCCAGCCTGGGTGACAGTGAGACTCTATCTCAAAAAAAAAAAAAAAAGGATTGGACATTAGCACTCCCAAGTTACATTTAAGGAACCTGCGGTTCAGAGAGGATAAGTTGGTTTCCAGGTCACACAGCCAGTTAATGGATTCAGAGCCCATGCGAGGTCCTGATGGATTGGGACACTGGAGATAAACACATGATGGAGGACAGTAGTTCAGGGGAGACCTGGAATGCTACTTGGGAGGGGACTCTCTGAAACAAGAGATAGCTTGGGGACATAGAAGTTGCCCAGAGAGGACAGAGCAGCAGGACAGGAGGTGAACGTGCATCCTCCTATGGCCACCGGTGGAAAATCATATGTATGGGATGCCCAAGGATCAGCTCTCTCCAGGGAGGTAGAGCTGGCTAGGATGGCAGTTTGTGGGAACAGTTTCTAGGAGGCAGGAAAGCACCAGGGGCTGAGGGGAATGGGGCCAAGGGTTGCTGCTGTTACTTGTGGATGCATTACTGGGAGGGCCAGGGGGAGTCCTGGCCGAGAGGAAATCAGACTTGATCAGGGAGATAAAAGCATGGATCAGATTCAAGTAGTAGTGAGGCAAGGATGGAATAGGAAAGGAACAGCAAGCTGAAGGCCTTGGAGGGGCAAGAGCTGGGCCAGGCAAGTGGAGAAGGCTGGACCCGAGGGTGGAGGCTGCCTAGAGCCCCTTATCATGCAGGGCTGCTGGGGGGCCTGAGGATGCCGCACAAGGGAGGACCTGGCCAGCTGGCAGAGCGATGATGCCACCTGTGTGTTTCATCTGAAGAGGGTTTATGACCTGGGGGCTGTATGTGTCCTGAGGGTAGAGAGGAGGAAAGATGGAAGATGGGGGTCTAGAGGGTTAGGGTAGAGAAAAGTGAGGATGTGAGATGCTGGAGGAAAAGTCTCCTGAAGTTCATTCTGACAGCCCTAGCCCTGTCCTCTAATCTCATCTCCCTCCCATTCCCTTCCCAATCCCCCTAGCGCAGCCTTTTTTTTGGGACTGCCAGCCACCCTTAAAGGGAAGGCCCCAACCCTTCCCTCAATTGGGGACCTCAGGGAGAGCTGGCAGGGCCCTGGGGCCCAGAGGGCTGGCTTCCTTCTTGTCAGAGGCAAAACAAAGGCACCTCCAGGGCTCAATGAAAACTCAGTTTGTTTTCTGGCTGTGGCCAAGGGACACCTTTAATTGCAAAACTTAAAACCAGCCCTTGTTGGAAATTGCGACAAGGCCAGACCATATGGGAATGTTTCCCGATGGAAAGGAGCATCTGTTCTCTATAAGATATGCAAATGACGTGTAATTGCACCTTCAGAGAGCTCTGTTTTCCGTCCCCAGCACAGTGCCCACAGGCGGGGGAATCTGACCATGGTTTAAAGTCCTCAGCCCTCCACCCACAAGACAGAGGATCCACGCTGAATCCACACTGCACGCTTCCCAGATTGAGGGACCCAGACCAGCCAGCGCCCTCTGCTGACATTCTCAGTCTTGTACTCAGGGTCCAGAAGGGGTTGAATAAGGCACACACTGCATTCCTATTCTGTTCCAGGTTTTGTGCAAAGTGGGGTTGTTTCCTTTAATGTGGGAGAAAACCCCAATGAGATCTTTTGCTTTGCAGACAAGGTAACCAAGGCTCGGAGGATTTATGTAGTTGGTCCGACATGTCATCTGGCACAGGGTGGGACTGAGATTCACAGCCAGGACTGACCGCTGGAAAAGCCCCTCGCGTGTCTTCTAACATTTACTGAGTGCCTGGGTCATTTCTTTAGCAAATGTTCTCTTATTCTGTCTCCTGTCTGCGAACGCCTGCACTCTCTGTCTCTCAGTCTCTCTTTGTCCCTCCTCCCTCCTGGGAATGGCTGAATAAGGGTCTTCACAAGAAAGGATCATTCCTTCAAAATTAATGCCGCATTTGCTTAAAATGTATTAGAAATGTGTTACAGCAAAAAGCACTTACAATAGCACTGGTAAAATGAAAATGTACATTAAGAAAAATTAGGCTGGGCGTGGTGTCTCACGCCTGTAATCCCAGCACTTTGGGAGGCGGGAGGATTATGTGAGCTCAGGATTTCGACACCAGCCTGGGTAACATAGTGAAACTGTGTCTCTACAAAAAATAGAAAAATTAGCTGGGTGTGGTGGCACACACCTGTTGTCCTAGCTGCTTGGGAGGCTTAGGTGGGAGGATTGCTGGAGCCTGGGAGATCAAGGCTGCAGTGAGTTGCGATTTCATCACTGCACTACAGCCTGGGTGACAGAGTCAGACCCTTTCTCAAAAACACCCAACAAACAAAACAATCACCAAGCCATTTAGAGGAACCAGCCATTCTCTGCAGGAAATAAAGGAACTAAGAGTTACCTCATCACCACTGCCACCACCATCACCACCATCATCATCAGAATGGAGGTGATGCGGTGGGGCTTCCTGGCGCTGCTCTTCACGGCTTGTGAGGAGCTCTGTGCAGCAGCTAGGCCAGGTGAGAACACAAGTCATGGGCCCTGGAGTCAGCCCTTGTGGCAAGTGACTTCCTTCTCTGTGATCTCCTTTCCATCTGTAAAATGGGGATCATAGTTCCTACATGATGGGTTTGTTCTGAGAGTTCAGGTGCTAATGTTTTTAGAAGAGTGCCTGGCCCCTAAGAAGTGTTTAATACACACTAGCTGTTATTACTTTTCAAGATCTTGCAGGAGACCCCGCATGGTGATTTGAGAACTTCCCGGAGTCCTGGGGTGAGAAACAGTGATCGCTCTGGCTTCTTCCACCAGAGGTACCAGGGTTTTTACCTTTTGTACACATCAGGAGGCTTGAAGACATTTGAAAAACTGCCTTAGGTTATAGGGGTCATTTAATCTCCTTGGGCTCCATGAGGTCAGGGAATGTCACTTACAGCATCCTTAGTGTCCAGAGAGTTCCTGGCATGGAGGAGATGCTTGATAAATTCACGCTGAATTGAATGGTGCCTCCTTTTCCTTTTCTTTTTTTGTTTTTTTGATTTCCAGGGATGTGATTTTGGTTCACTGCAACCTCCACCTCCCATGTTCAAGTGATTCTCCTGCCTCAGCCTCCTGAGTAGCTGAGATTACAGGCACGCACTACCATATCAGGCTAATTTTTATATTTTTAGTAGAGACGGGGTTTTGCCATGTTGGCCAGGCTGGTCTCGAACTCCTGACCTCAAGTGATCCGCCCGCCTCGGCTTCCCAATGTACTGGGATTATAGGCATAAGCCACCAAGCCCGTCATCCTTTTTCTTTTCTATAAAATGTAAAAAGAATGCCCAAGTTTTGGTATGAGTGACCTTTTTAAGGGAGATGTTCTTCCAGGAAAGCACCTTGTTCACATACTCTGGGCCACCGTGCAGGGGCTCTGGAGGTGGTCTGACTCCCCCACCATTTAGTGCCAACCTCAGGGCATAGTGCCTGACCGAGATGGAGGAGAACAAGCCCTGGCGGTGTCTATGAAGCCAGAGGGAGTGGAAGACAGAACAGGAAGGGGAAGGAGGGTGGCCAGTGTCCTCATGGGGAAGGGGCAGGTGGGCGGAGAGGCTGGGAGAGCCGGTGTCTACCCAGAGAATGCCACATGGCACCTGGACCTGGTGCTCAGGGAGAAGTCCTCTGGCACCCCTGTGGGTGGGTGGGGTGTTGCCAATGGCCAAGATGGGCTTTGGCATAGCTGCTCTAAGCCTGTGGGCATTCTCCTCCCAGCTAGAAAGGAGAGGGGCTGCTCCTGCCTGTACATGCCAGGGGAAGCTGTTGGTCAGCTGCAAAATGAGGACATTCTCAAGACCGGCCTCTGCAGCGGCTGCTCCCACTTCTCCAGCTCTGGCCCACTTGCCATATGTTCTGGGAGGAAAAATCACGTCACTGAGGTTATTGTCCAGTGAACTGGTGATTCTGCTCTGGGGCCTTGTCGGAGCTGGAAGACTTTGTTTTTTGAATATCATTTCCTGGAGAAAGGTTATGGGGGAGGTGGGGGTTGTGGCAGGGTGGAGGGTTTTGCTGGATAAATAGACCTCTCCCCTTGTTTGTCCTGAGGAAGAGAGAATATTTCTGTCTTACAGATGAAACATCTGAGGCTCAGAGAGTGACTTCTCCAAGGCCACACGGCTAGGAACTTGGATTGAGTCTGTCTGGGATATTTTTTCTTTTCTTTTCTTTCTTTCTTGTTTGTTTTTGAGATGGAATCTCTCTCTGTTGCCCAGGCTGGAGTGCAGTGGCATGATCTCGGCTCACCGCGGCCTCCACCTGCAGGGCTCAAATGATTCTCATGCCTCAGCCTCCCGAGTAGCTGGGACTACAGGCGTGCACCACCATGCCCAGCTAATTTTTTGTATTTTAGTAGAGGCATGGTTTCACCATGTTGCCCAGGGTGGTCTTGAACTCCTGAGCTCAAGAGATTCGCCCGCCTTCGCCTCCCAAAGTGCTGGATTACAGGCATGAGCCACTGTGCCCGGCCAGGATATTTTTTCTGAACTCAACCTTGCTTTGCAAACTCTCAGCTCTGCACATTTGTATCCTTTCTCAGGCCCTACCTTCATGGATGAAAACCTCCCAGAGAGGGAGTTCGGAATAGCCCAACACCTACAGCCTCAGGGTTATTCTGCAGATGCCTTGAGCAGCCTCATCATGTGAGTTCCCAGCCCCAAACTTCCCCATTCCCTGGATCTCATCTGTCCATCTGGTGGTGATTGCAAAATGAAGTCACACTTACCCTTGTGCCCAAATTGCAGGTTCCGAGCCACTCATCCCCCTAGACAAGAACATTAGCCTTCAAGGGTCTTCACTCATTCATGGGAGATCTCAGAGGGAGCCTCACACACATACCCACTCTGTCAGTTGCAACCCCAGACAATGCCCACCCCTTTTTCCTTTCTGGTTCTGGTTTCCACCTGTGCACTAGTCACAGTTTTCTTGTCATTATCACCACAAAAGGGGCCACCTGAAGAATGATGTGCTGCTGACGTCTGGGCCAATGTAGCT